>NW_025791762.1:0-166860 GCF_000001405.40 Homo sapiens
AGGCGTGGCTCAGCACCTTGAAGCCGAGAGGCTTTGTGATCCGATTTACATTTTCCAAAGGTGACTTTGTCAGGTGCCTGGAAGTGGATTAGGGCAGGCCATGGATTAGGGCAGGCCCTGAGGACAGAGCGCTGAGGGTCTGCTGCCTCCAGGCAGGGAGAAATGAGGAGGCCTCAAACCACAGGCAGAGAGAACAAAGCTCCCACCCCCATCTGTGTGGCAGATGAAAGAATCTGCCTCCGACTGCAATCAAAAAGCAGCACCAGATAGTATGTAATAAAACATATTTGTAGGCAACGTGAACTTAAATGAAAAGTAAGGGAATCCTCAGAAACAAAAGCAGTCACTGAAAATTGAATGGACAGCCTGTGACATGAAGCCCTGCGCCTAGGGCCAGGAGCAGCAGAAGTGGGGGACGGTGGCCCTCTGGTAGCCCAGAAGATTGGGTTTCTACAAACAGGAATGGATGGGGCAGATTGAGAGGATGGGATAGAGAGGAGCTGAGAACTGCTGCGTGAAGTTAGGACTCTCCAGGGGCCATTGCCTCAGAAAACAAAAGACCAATAACTGGAAAAATATTTACCTGCACGTATCAAATGACAACATGAAATTTTGTTATCTTGGCCTAAACATTTCCCTGACAATTTCTAATCGTTTCCCTGCTTTTATGCAGGTTTGAACTTGAAATTTATACTATTTAAGCCAAGAAGTTAACCTTAAACTGTCCCCAAAATATTATATTCCTGGAAACCAACACAGAAACAAGGGCTAATTTCTCTGGACAAATACACCATCAACCGAGGCTTTTCAGAATCCCTGTGGCAGGCGGAACTCTCAGATGCCCCCGGGATTCTGGTCCCTGTGTGTGTTCACACCTTCTCCTAGTTAGGCACTCATCTGCATGCTGCGCTGAAGAGACTTTTCAGATGTAACCAATGTCCCTATTCAGCTGAGTTCAGAAAAAGGCTATCCTAGGTAGAACCCCTAATCCGGTGATCCCTTATTAAGGAATAGGGTTCTTCCCGGAAGAAGGGATTTGAAAAGAAAGAGACTCCGTGGCTGAGAAATTATCCATTGTTGGTGTTGAAGGAGGAGAGAGCCATCAGCCAGCCAGCTGGGCAGCCTGCAGATGCTGGGGGGCCTCCAGCTGGCAGGCAGTGAAGAGGCAGGGACCTCAGCCCTGCAACCAGGACTGCCGGGCAACCTGAATGAGCTTCAGAGCATATTCTTCCCCAGAGCCTGCAGACACAAACTCAGCCAGCACCCTGATTTCAGCCTGGCGAGACTGAGCAGAGAGCGCAGACGCATTACATCATCATCCCTCTCGCCTACAGAGCAGCACACTGATGGACACACTGTTCCAGCCTCTACGTTTGTGGTCATTTGTTATGCACCAATACACATTTTGTTACCTAAAAGTGGGGTGTACTGTAACAAATACCTAAAAATGTGGCTGTGCCAGTGGAAGCTGACAGCAGGCAGAGGCATTCTTCTAAGAATGTTGAGGAGCGTGGCAGAAAAAGCCTGAAGTGCAGTGGACAGACTATTAGTAGAAATCTGTACTTGGAGGATCCTAGTGGTGAGACCTCAGAAGAAGAGGAGGGACATGTCATTGGAAACTGAAAGAAGGGGAATCTTTACTGTTTATTGGCAGAAACTTAGCAAATTGTGCCCTGCAGTTAGGCAGAAAGCAGAAGGTATACATGACTGACTTGAATAAATTGCTAAGGAGATTTCCCAGCAAAGTGTTGAAGATGTGGCTGAGTTCATTGTTGCTGCTTATAGTAAAATGTGAGAGGAGGGAGATAACTTGAGAAAAGCACTATTAAACAAAAAGCAACCAGGACTGGATGATTTGGGGAATTGTCAGCCCATCCATATAGCTACGGACAATAAAATTAGGAGATTGCTTTCAAAGGCATGGCAGAGAAAAGAAGGTGAGGGCGTGACTGTACAACCTTTTGCTAAAACCTCAGAAGGATCAATGAGTCAGAGAATTCAGTCGTACAAAGGGCTCTTTCAAGAGATAGCATATGTGCCTCACAGGTCTTCTCAACCAAACCAGAGGACCACAGCCCTGTAGCATCTGGTCCTCAGCTGCATCAGCAAGAGCCAAATATAGCAAAGAGATTATCTCAAAAAGATCTGTGCTGCAGTAAACTTACAAGTGCTGATATTTCTTTGACACACTGATTTCATTTCCTTTGGTTTATATTGCCAAGAGTGGAATTGCTGGATCATATGGTAATTCTATTTTTATTTTTTGAGGAATCTCCATACTGCTTTCCACAGTGGCTGTACCAATTTACATTCCCACCAAGAGTGTACAAGGGTTCCCATTTCTCTACACCCCTTGACTTGTTTTCTTATGTCTTTCTGATAACAGCCATTCTAAATGGAATGAGGTGGTATCTCATTATGGTTTTGATTTGCATTTCCCTGATGAATGTTGAGCATTTTTTCCTAGACCTGTTGGCCATAACATGTCTTTTCATTAAAGGTAGCAGCATTTGCAACTTCCTAGACATGTCTTCCAAGATATGGAATCAACCCAAGTGTCAGCAGACAAATGGATAAAGAAAATGTCGTATATATACACAATGGAGTACTAATCAGCCATGCAAAGGATGGAATCCTGTCATTTGCAACAACCTGGATGAACCCAGAGGACACCATCTTAAGTGAAATAAGCCAAACACAGAAACACAAATAAATACCACATGATTTCACTCATGTGGAATCTTAAAAAAAAAAAAAAGTTGACATCACAGAAGCAGAGGTAGAACACTGGTTACCAGAGACGGGATAAGCAGGGTAGAAGGGAGGATGAGGAGAGTTTATTCAATGGGCACAAAGTTACAATTATGTAGGAGGAGTAAGTTCTATTGCACTGTGGAGTGATGAGGATTGACAGTACAGTACTGTGTATTATAAAATAGCTAGAAGAGAGAATTTTGAATGTTCTCACCACAGAGCAATGATAAATGCATGAGGTGATGGATATGTTAACTACCCTAATTTGATCAGTATACAATATATGTTTATCAAAACATCAGACTGTACCCCATAAATATGTACAATTGCAATAAAATAGTGACCACTAAAAGGAGATCTGTGGGCATGGCTTTTGCTTAATGGTCTGAATCCCAGTGTAATTCATGCAAACCCCACAAGGTTCTTGACTAAAATTGGGAAGAAATACTGCCAGCTTGGACTAAAAGGAACAGAGAGACTCTGAAATTAAAAAGACAGTCAGACCCTTAGGATTCCAGCAGCAGGAAGCGGGTTGATGAAACTTCAGCTGCAAATGCTCCTACCTTTAATGAAAAGGAAGAATGACTCAGAGCTCAGAGAACAGAACCAACAAGAGCCCAGAGGGTGAGCAAGATAACTGAGGAGCAAGGAAGGATAATTCCCAGGCATGGAAACCTAATCAAGGGTCTCTGGCTGGAAGTCATCCAGCTAGATTTCAAAACTGCTTTGGAGCAGTGACTCCTTTCTGTTTCACCTTCCATTTTCCTCCTTTTTAAACTGGAACATCTATAACTGTCACTCTATGTCTGTCCCACCGTCATATACTGGGAGTGTTGGGGAGATCACCTCTCTCTTGGATAGAGAGGAAATGTGTCTCAAAAAATTAACCCAGAAGCCTCATCCAAATCTGGGCCTGATTTACCTGATGAGATTTTAAACTTGGAATGATGTCTGAATGGGATTAGATTCTAGGGAATGTTTGGAAGGGCTATAAATCATTGGGGTCCAGGCCAGGCACAGTGGCTCATGCCTGTAATCCTAGCACTTAGGGAGGCCAAGGCAGGTGGCTCACTTGAGGTCAGGAGTTCAAGACTAGCCTGGCCAACATGGCAAAACCCCATCTCTACTAAAAATACAAAAATTAGCCAGACATGGCAGTGCACATCTGTAATTCCAGCTACTCGGGAGGCTAAGGCAAGATAATTGCTTGAACCAGAGAGGCAGAGGTTGCAGTGAGCCAAGACTGTGCTACTGCACTCCAACCTGGGTGACAGAGTGAGACTCTGTCTCAAAAAAAAAATTATTGAAATGTGGTAGGCAGAATTCAAAGATGGCCCTCAAGATTCACATCCCCTGATGTACACACCTTGCATGATTCCCTCCCTATGAGTGTGAACAGAACCTGTGAGTATTACGGAATACCACCCCATGATTATGTGTCATTATATGGCAAATTGGGTTTTGCCAATGTAGCTAAGAAGTCTAATCAGTTGACTTTGAGTCAGTCAAAAGAAAGATTTTCCTGTGGGCCTAATCTAATAACAAGAGCACAATACAGCTGGTTCAGAGACAGAGAAAATCAGAGATTCTAAATAGCAGAGACATTTCTGCTGTCCTTGAAAGAGAAACTCCCATGTTGTGGAGGGGGCAATAGGGAAGGAAAAGGCAGGCAACTTCTAGGGGCTGAGAGTAGTCCCAGTAAACATGGAGAAACCCTGCCTCTACTAAAAATACAAAATTAGCCTGGCGTGATAGCACATACCTGTAATCCCAGCTGCTCAGGAGGCTGAGGCAGAAGAATTGCTTGAACCTGGGAGGTGGAGGTTGCAGTGAGCAGAGATTGTGCCATTCCACTCCAGCCTGGGCAACAAAAGCAAAGCTCCGTCTCAAAAAAAAAAAAAAAGAAAGAAAATTGGGAAAATAGAGTTTTATCTCACTCCTTATACAAGAATCAACTCAAAATAAAGACTTAATTTTAAGACCTGAAACAATAAAACTAAATGCCAATACACCTAATAACAAAATTTCAAAATACGTGGTGCCAAAACTGATAGAATTCCAAGGAGAGATAGACAATCCACCATTGTAGTCAGAGATTTTAATGCCCCACTCTTAATAATTGATAGAACACAGAGACAGAAAATCAGTAAGGTATTTGGGAGATTTTCACACACTATCAACCAACCTGACCTAAAAGATGTTTATAGAGCACTTCACACAATGAGAGCTGAATGCAGTTTTTTAGTGTACACAGGACACTTACTAAGATAAAAAACATATTCTGGACTATTAAACAAGTATACAAAAAGCAGGACTGATGAGCAAATTCAGTGGAGTTGCAGGATACAATACCAACTTGCAAAAATCAATAGCACTTCTCTACACTAACAACAAATGCCTGTAATCCCAGCACTTTGGGAGGCCAAGGCGGGTGGATCATGAGGTCAGGAGATTAAGACCATCCTGGCTAACACGGTGAAACCCAGTCTCTACTAAAAATACAAAAAAAAAGGCTCTCCCTCCTCCCCCCCCCCCCCACAGTCTCCCTCTGATGTCGAGCCGAGTCTGGACTGTACTGCCGCGATCTCGGCTCACTGCAACCTCCCTGCCTGATTCTCCTGCCTCAGCCTGCCGAGTGCCTGGGATTGCAGGCGCGTGCCGCCAGGCTTGACTGGTTTGTGTATTTTTTGGTGGAGATGGGGTTTCGCCGTGTTGGCCGGGCTGGTCTCCAGCTCCTGACCACGAGTGATCTGCCCGCCTGGGCCTCCCGAGGTGCCGGGATTGCAGACGGAGTCTCGCTCACTCAGTGCTCAATCTTGCCCAGGCTGGAGTGCAGTGGCGTGATCTCGGCTGGCCACAACCTCCACCTCCCAGCTGCCTGCCTTGGCCTCCCAAAGTGCCGAGATTGCAGCCTGTGCCTGGCCGCCACCCCGTCTGGGATGTGAGGAGCCCCTCTGCCCTGCCGCCCAGTCTAGGAAGTGAGGAGCGCCTCTTCCCAGCCGCCATCCCATCTAGGAAGTGAGGAGCATCTCTGCCTGGCCGCCCATCATCTGAGATGTGGGGAGCGCCTCTGCCCCATTGCCCCATCTGGGATGTGAGGAGCGACTCCGCCCAGCAGCCGCCCAGTCCAGGAGGTGGGGGGCAGCCCCCACCCGGCCAGCCGCCCCGTCTGGGAGGGAGGTGGGGGACGCCTCCGCCCTGCCGCCACCCCGTCCAGGAGGTGGGGGGTGCCTCTGCCCTGCCGCCCCGTCTGGGAAGTGAGGAGCCCCTCTGCCCGGCCACCACCCCGTCTGGGAGGTGTACCCAACAGCTCATTGAGAACAGGCCATGATGACAATGGGGGTTTTGTCGAATAGAAAAGGGGGAAATGTGGGGAAAAGAAAGAGAGATCAGATTGTTACTGTGTCTGTGTAGAAAGAAGTAGACATAGGAGACTCCATTTTGTTCTGTACTAAGAAAAATTCTTCTGCCTTGGGATGCTGTTAATCTATAACCTTACCCCCAACCCGGTGCTCTCTGAAACATGTGCTGTGTCCACTCAGGGTTAAATGGATTAAGGGCGGTGCAAGATGTGCTTTGTTAAACAGATGCTTGAAGGCATCATGCTCGTTAAGAGTCATCACCACTCCCTAATCTCAAGTACCCAGGGACACAAACACTGCGGAAGGCCGCAGGGTCCTCTGCCTAGGAAAACCACAGACCCTTGTTCACATGTTTATCTGCTGACCTTCCCTCCACTATTGTCCTATGACCCTGCCAAATCCCCCTCTCCGAGAAACACCCAAGAATGATCAATAAATACTAAAAAAAAAAAAAAGAAAAAAAGAAAACTTGTAAAAACCAAACCTTTCACATTTGTGCATTTCTGAAACTGGCATTGGGCAGATGTTTTGCATTTTTAATACACATGAAAGACCCTTTAATAAAACCACGGAAGAGATTGAAAAAAAAAAAAAAAAAAAGCCAGGTGTGGTGGCAGGCGCCTGTAGTCCCAGCTACTCGGGAGGCTGAGGCAGGAGAACCCAGGAGGCAGAGCTTGCAGTGAGCCAAGATCACACCACTGCACTCCAGCCTGGGCGACACAGTGAGACTGCATCTCAAAAAAAAAAAAAAAAAAAAAAAATTCACAATCATCAAAAAATAAAATGAAATACTTAGGAGTAAATTTCAACAAAGAAGTGAAAAAATCTGTATGCTGAAAACTATAAAACATGAATGAGAAAATTAAGATGACACAAATAAATGGAAAGATATCTCATGTTCATGGATTGGAAGAATTCATATTGTTAAAATGTTCATGCTACCCAAAATAATCCACAGATTTAATGCAACCTCTATCAAAATTCCAATGTCTCCCTTCACAGAATAGAAAAATTAGTCCTAAAATGTGCATGGAGCCACAAGAAACTCTGAAGAGCCAAAGCAATCTGGACCAAAAAGAACAAAGCTAGAGGCAAAACACTACCAGATTTCAAAATCTATTACAAAGCAAAAGTAATCGAAACTGCATGGTACTAACATAAAAACAGGCACATCAACCAATGAAATAGAATGAAGAGCCCAGAAATAAACTCATACATCAATAGCTAATTGATTTTCAACCAAATTGCCAAAAGCACACAATGGGGAAAGAACAGTCTCTTCAATAAATGGTGTAATTGTATATTCAAAACAGAAGAATGAAAATGGACTCTCGTCTCACTCCTTATACAAGAATCATCTCAAAATAAATTAAGGACTTAAATGTGAGACCTAAAGCTACAAAACTACTAGAAGAAAGCATAGGGGGAAAGCTCCATGACATTGGTTTGGACAGAAATTTCTGCATAATTCCAAAAGCATAGTAAACAAAAGCAAAAATAGACAAATAGGATTACAGTAAACTAAAAAACTTTTGCACAGCAAGGAAAACAATTCATAGAGTGAAGACACAGCCGACAGACTGGGAGAAGATATTTGCAAATCATACAGCAGATAAAGGGTTAATATCCAAAATATACAAGGAACTCAAAGTAGTCAACAAGCAAATGAATAATTCTATTAAAAAATGGGCAAAGGCAAAAAGAACAAAACTGGAGGAATCACATTACCTGACTTCAAATTATACTATAAGCTATAGTAACCAAAACAGCATGGTACTGGTAAAAAAAACAGACACATAGACCAATGGAACAGAATAGAGAACCCAGAAATAAATTCATAAACAAGCAGTAAACTCATTTTTGACAAAGGTGCCAAGAATATACACTGCAGAAAAGACAGTCTCTTCAGTAAATGGTGCTGGGAAACCTGGATATCCATATGCAGAAGAATGAAACTAGACCCCTGTCTCTCGCCATATACAAAAATCAAATCAAAATGGATTAAAAGAATTTAAATTGGCTGGGTGGGGTCTCATGCCGGTAATCCCAGCCAGCACTTTGGGAGGCCCAGGTGGGCAGATCACTTGACGTCAAGAGTTGGAGACCAGCCTGGCCAACAGGTTGAAAGCCTGTCTCTACTAAAAATACAAAAATTAGCTGGGCATGGTGGTGTGCACCTGTAAGTCCAGCTACTCGGGAGTTTGAGGCACAAGAATGGCTTGAATCTGGGAGGCAGATATTGCAATGAGCCAAGATGGTGCCACTACTCTCCAGCCTGGGTAACACAGTGAGACCCTGTCTCAAAAAAAAAAAAAGAACTAAATCGAAGACATTAAACTATAAAACTGCCACAAGAAAATATTGAGGAAACTCTCCAGGACATTGGTCTGGGCAAAATTTTCTTGAGCAACACTTCATAAGTACAAGCAGGCAACCAAAGCAAAAATGGACAAATGGGGTTACCTCAAGTTAAAAAGCCTCTGCACAGCAAAGGAAACAATCAACAAAGTGAAGAGACAAACTGCAGAATGGAAGAAAATACTTGCAAACTACCCATCTAACAAGGTATTAATAACCAGAATACATAAGGAGCTCAAACAAGTCTACAGAAAAAAAATCTAGTAATCCAATCAAAAAATGGGCAAAAGATTTGAATAGACATTTCTAAAAAGAAGACATACAATGGCAGACAGGCATATGAAAGGGGCTCAACATCATTGATTATCAGAGAAATACAAATCAAAACTACAATGAGATATCATGTCACCCCAGTTAAAATGGCTTTTATCCAAGAGACAGGAAATAGCAAATGCTGGTGAGGATAGGGAGAAAAGGGAAGCCTCGTATACTGCTGGTGGGAATGTAAATTAGTACAACCACCAAGAAGAAGAGTTTGGAAGTTCCTCAAAAAAATAAAAATAGAGCTATCATATAATCTAGCAATCCCACTGCTGGATACATACCCCAAGAAAAAGGAAATCAGGGTATCAAAGGGATATCTGCACTCCCAGGTTTGTTGCAGCTCTGTTCACAGTAGCTAAGATTTGGAAGCAACCTAAGTGTCCATTGACAGATGAATGGATAAAGAAAATGTGATATATACACACTGTGGAGTACTATTCAGCCATAAGGGTAGTGGAGGTGTGGGTGGGAGGTGAGGATGACTAATGGGTACAAAAAACAATAGTTAGAAGAACAAATAAGACCTAACACTTGATAGCACAACAGGGGGACTATAGTCAATAATAGTTTAATTGTAATTTTTAAAATAACTAAAAGAGTATAATTGGATTGTTGGTAACACAAAGAATAAATGCTTGAGGGGATGGATACCCCACTCTCCATGATGTGATTATTTCACATTGTAGGCCTGTATTAAAACATCTCATGCAACTCATAAATATATACACCTACTATGTAGCTACAGAAAATTAAAAATTAATTTTTTTTAATTTAAAGACAAAAAAAGTAGCAAAGGAATTGAATAGACATTTCTCAAAAGAAGACATACAAATGGTCATCAGATATATCAAAAATGTTGCCCGGGCATGGTGGCTCACACCTGTAATCCCAGCACTTTGGGACGCCAAGGCAGGCAGATCACCTGAGGTCAGGAGTTCAAGACCAGCCTGGCCAACATGGTGAAACCCCATCTCTACTAAAAATACAAAAATTAGCTGGGCGTGGTGGGATGCACCTATAGTCCCAGCTACTGGGGAGGCTGAGGCAGGAGAATCACTTGAACCTGGGAGGTGGAGGTTGCAGTGATCTGAGATCACACCATTGTACTCCAGCCTGGGCAACAGAGTGAGATTCCATCTCAAAAAACAAACAAACAAAAAAAATGCTTGTCTCTAGCCATCAGAGAAATACAAAGGAAAACCACAATGAGATATCACCTCACACTGTTAGAATGGCTATTACCAAAAAAATGAAAGATAACATGTGTTGGCAAGGATATGGAGAAAATGTACAGATTGTACATTGTTGGTGGCATTATAAATTAGTATAGACGTTTTGAAAAACAGTATGGAGGTCCCTCAAAAGCCTAAAAATAAAATTGCTATGTGATCCAGCAATCCCACTACTGGGTACACACCCAAAGAAACTGAACTCAGTATGCCGAAGAGATGTCTGCACTCCATGTTCATTGCAGCACTAGTAAGAATAGCCTAGCTATGGAAACAACCTCAGTGTCCGTCAACGAATGAATGGATTTTTTTAATGTGGTAAATATTCACAATGGAATGCTATTCAGCCTAAAAAAAAAAAACAAAACCAGAATTCTGTCATTTGGGACAACATGCATGAACCTGGAGATTATGTTAAGTGAAATAAGCCAGGCACAGAAAGCCAAATGCCATATAATCTCACTTTTATGTGGAATATAAAAATGTCAAACACACAGAAATAGAGAGTAGAATGGTGGTTACCAGCGGCTGGTGGTCTGGGGGTCAGTGGACAGGGAAAGAGAAGATATTAGTCAACAGGTACAAAGTTACAGTCAGATAGGAGAAATGCATTCTGGTGTTCTATTGCACAGTATAGTGACTATAGTTAATAATAATGTATTTCCAAATAGCTAAAAGAGAGACTTTTAAATATCCTCACCACAGAGAAATGATAAATATTTGAGGTGAAGTACATGCTAATTGGCCTGATTTGATGGTCCCACATCATACACATAATGGGAAACATCACATTGTACCCCCAAAATATATACAACTATTGTTTGTTTAAAATTATACTTTTAATTGAAATAAAATAAAAGTTTTCAAGTGATTTATGTTCTCTCTCCATAATAAATCAGTATATAAAAATCAAATTCATTTGTATCTACAAGCGACAAACAACTGTAAATTCATATTTTAAAATATCATTTATAATAGCATCAAAAATCATGAAACACTTAGGGATAAACCTACAAGGGTCAGCAAATTACTTGCTTATCTGCCAGATCTAGCCTGCAGCAACTATGAAATAAGTGAGTTTGCATATTTAAAGGATTGGGGAAAAGGTGTTTAATAAAATAAATTTTTAAAAAAATGCTGAGACTATATATGTCCCACAAAGCCTATTTATTTTCTGGCTGTTTGTAGAAAAGTTTTATCAACCTCTGTATTAAACAAATATGTTCCAGATATTAAACCAAAAGAATGACTCATAAATTTAAAAATTGATAATTTGGACCTCATCGAAATAAAGTCTGCTCATTGAAAGACTGTTAAAAGTATGAAAGGACATACCACAGATTAGAAGAAAATATTTGTAAATCATATATCTGATATAAGATTTGTCTCTGGCATATATAGGGAACTCTCAAAACTCAGTAATAAGAAGTCACAACCCAATTAGCAAAATATTAATTAAACGAATAAATATTTACTCAATTTTTTAAAGAAACAAAACTCAACGAGGACTAGAATCAATGTCATGGAGAGCATCTGTGCAAACACTAAGGTAAGCATCATGCAATGACCACAGCCACAGAGCTTTCTCATTTCACGTGGGGAGCAGGAGCTATCAGCATTCTAATGGGAGTCTTAACAAACAGGTCAGATAACAATGGGAAATCAGGTGTGTACAAGCTGTCTAAATAAAGATAAACTGTCCTTGTATGAAGACTCCACAAACCATCAGAATTAATAAGAGAATGTAGCAAGACTTTTGATACAGTCTACAAAAATCAATAGCATTCCTATACACTACCAATAATCCATTAAAAATGTAAAAATAAAAAGATCCTGTTTACAAAAAGAAATTTTAAATAAGAAACTAGGAATAAATCTAACAAAGTATAAGCTCTTCATGGAGAAAATTACAAAATCTATTTGATGGGTGATAGAACAACTAAATGGAGATGTATGCCTGGTTCATGAACTGTATACCTCAATATTGTAAAGATGTCTGGGCCAGGGGCGGTGGCTCAAGCCTGTAATACCAGCACTTTAGGATGCTGAGGTAGGCAGAGCACCTGAGGTCAGGAGTTCAAGACCAGCCTGGCCAATATGGTGAAACCCCATCTCTACTAAAAATACAAAAATTAGCTGGGCGTGGTGGCAGATGCCTGTGATCCCAGCTACTCGGGAGGCTGAGGCAGGAGAATCGCTTGAATCTGGGAGGTGGAGGTTGCAGTGAGCCAATATCTCACCATTGCACTCCAGCCTGGGCAACAGAGTGAGACTCCATCTCGAAAAAAAAAAAAAAAAAAAAAAAGATGTCTCTTCTGCCCCAAACTCAGTACAATTCCCATTGAAATCCTACTCAGGTGATTCTGAATTTAAGATAATATATTCGTCATAAGATAAGCAAATGAAAAGGGGGAGGGGACAAATTAGAAAGCCCAGAAACATCTTTTGAAACTTGTTAAAGACAGAGAAAACATTTCAAATAAATGAGGAAAAATATTTTCAATAGGTGATACTGTGACAATTGTTTAACTTTATTCCTCCAATAAATAGAATAATCTACCTAATTTACACTCAACAAAGATTGAAAGTGGAGTTAATGTGAATAACAAACCCTTAAAATTGTATTTTAAAATACACAGAATACCTTTACAACCTTAGAGTAAGAAAAGATATCTTAAACAAGAGCTAAATCATATACTATTTAAAGGAGAAAATTGTTAATTTTGACCATATTAATATTAAAATCTCTGCACAAAATAAAACCATAAACCAAACAGTAGCAGTAGTCACAGAAAGATTTGCAGGCACATCACAAAGGATTCATTTCTATAATATGAAAATTCTTCCAAATCAATTTTTAAAAGACACAAAACAATAAAAATGGATGAAGAATAGGAACAGACATTTCCAGAAGGGAAAAAACCCAAATGGCCAGTAAATATTTGATAAGATGCTCAGCCTCATGAAACATTCAGAAATCCAATTTCAAAAACCATAATATTTGCAGGGTTTTTTTACTACTAAAATGCATTATTTGGATGCAATATTTGATTATGCGAAAATATATTCTGGGCGGGATGCAGTAGCTCACACCTGTAATCCCAGCACTTTGGGAGGCCGAGGCAGGTGAATCACTTGAGCCCAGGAGCTCAAGACCAGCCTGGGCAACATGGCAAAACCCCATCTCTACCAAAAATACAAAAAATTAGCTAGGAATGGTGGTGCACGCCTGTGCTCCTAGGTACTCGGGAGGCTGAGGTGGGAGGATGACTTGAAGTGGGAGGATGACTTGAGCCCGAGAGGCAGAGGTTAGAGTGAGCCCAGATTGCGCCCCTGCACTCCAGCCTGGGCAACAGGAGTGAGACCCCATCAAAAAAAGAGAGAGAGAGAGAGATTCTGTATACTGCTATTTTTGCCACTTGTATATATGTATGTGTCACTGTCTGTTTTTATGAAAAATGTTATTGAAGGATAACATACATATTCAACAGAGTGCACAAATCATCAGTGTACAAGATGACTTTTCACAAAGTGAACACCTCATAGAGCAGAACAAGATATTAGCATCCCCCCAGAAACCCTCCCTAGCACACAAGGAGAACAATTAACCCTGACTTCTAACACCACAGATTTGTTTGGCCGGCTCTTAACTTTATATCAATGGGATTGTACAATGCATAATCTCTTTTGCCTGCTTTTTTTCAACGTTTTGTGAGATTAGTGTTGCATAAATCACATGCTCAAGATTCAGTCTCACTTCCAAATAGAATTTTGTCACATATGCAAACTACAATGTATTTATTCATTTTACTATTGATGGATATGGGTTGTGTTCAATTTTTGAATGTTGCTTTGACATTCTTTTTTTATATATACTTAAGTTGTAGGGTACACGTGCACAACGTGCAGGTTTGTTACACAGGTATACATGTGCCTTGTTGGTAAGTTCCAGGGTACATGTGCACAACGTGCAGATTTGTTACATAGGTATACATGTGCCATGTTGGTTGGCTGCACCCATCAACTCATCATTTACATTAGGTATTTCTCTTAATGCTATCCCTCCCCCAGCCCCCACCCCCCAACAAGCCCTAGTGTGTGATGTTCCCCACCTTGTGTCCAAGTGTTCTCATTGTTCAATTCCCACCTATAAGTGAGAACATGCAGTGTTTGGTTTTCTGTCCTTGTGATAGTTTGCTAAGAATGATGGTTTCCAGCTTCATCCATGTCCCTGCAAAGCACATTAACTCATCCTTTTTTATGGCTGCATAATATTCCTTGGTGCATATGTGCCACATTTTCTTAATCCAGTCTATGATTGATGGACATTTGGGTTGGTTCCAAGTCTTTGCTATTGTGAATAGTGCCACAATAAACATGCATGTGCATGTGTCTTCATAGTAGCATGATTTATAATCCTTTGGGTATATACCCAGTAACGGGATCACTGGGTCAAAAGGTATTTCTAGTTCTAGATCCTTGAGGAATCGCCACACTGTCTTCCACAATGGTTGAACTAATTTACACTCCCACCAACAGTGTAAAGGCGTTCCTATTTCTCCACATCCTCTCCAGCATCCATAGTTTCCTGACTTTTTAATGATCGCCATTCTAACTGGCATGAAATGGTATCTCATTGTGGTTTTGATTTGCCTTTCTCTGATGACTAGTGACAATGAGCATTTTTTCATCTATCTGTTGGCTGCATGAATATCTTCTTTTGAGAAGTGTCTGTTCATATCCTTTGCCCACTTTTTGTTGGGGCTGTTTGTTTTTTTCTTGTAAATGTGTTTAAGTTCTTTGTAGATTCTGGATATTAGCCCTTTGTCAGATGGGTAGATTGCAAAGATTTTCTCCCATTCTGTAGGTTGCCTGTTCACTCTGATGGTAGCTTCTTTTGCTGTGCAGAAGCTCTTTAGTTTAATTAGATCCCATTTGTCTATTCTGGCTTTTGTTGCCATTACTTTTGGTGTTTTAGTCATGAAGTCCTTGCCCATGCCTATGTCCTGAATGGTATTGCCTAGGTTTTCTTCTAGGGCTTTTATCGTTTTAGGTCTAACATTTAAGTCTTTAATCCATTTTGAATTAATTTTTGTATAAGGTGTAAGGAAGGGATCCAGTTTCAGCTTTCTACATATGGCTAGCCAGTTTTCCCAGCACCATTTATTAAATAGGTCATCCTTTCCCCCGTTTCTTGTTTTTGTCAGGTTTGTCAAAGTCAGATGGTTGTAGATGTGTGGTATTATTTCTGAGGCCTCTATTCTGTTCCATTGGTCTATATCTCTGTTTTGGTACCAGTACCATGCTGTTTTGGTTACTGTAGCCCTGTAGTATAGTTTGAAGTCAGGTAGCATGATGCCTCCAGCTTTGTTCTTTTTACTTAGGATTGTCTTGGCAATGTGGGCTCTTTTTTGGTTCCATATGAAACTTTAAAGTAGTTTTTTTTCCAATTCTGTGAAGAAAGTCATTGGTAGCTTGATGGGAATGGCATTGAATCTATAAATTACCTTGGGCAGTATGGCCATTTTCATGATATTGATTCTTCCTATCCATGAGCATAGAATGTTCTTCCATTTGTTTGTGTCCTCTTTTATTTCGTTGAGCAGTGGTTTGTAGTTCTCCTTGAAGAGGTCCTTCACATCCCTTGTAAGTTGGATTCCTAGGTATTTTATTCTCTTTGAAGCAACTGTGAATGGGAGTTCACTCATGATTTGGCTCTCTGTTTGTCTGTTATTGGTGTATAAGAATGCTTGTGATTTTTGCACATTGATTTTGTAGCCTGAGACTTTGCTGAAGTTGCTTATCAGCTTAAGGAGGTTTTGGGGTGAGACAATGTGGTTTTCTAAATATACAATCATGTCATCTGCAAACAGGGACAATTTGACTTCCTCTTTTCCTAATTGAATACCCTTTATTTCTTTCTCTTTCCTGATTTCCCTGGCCAGAACTTCCAACACTATGTTGAATAGGAGTGGTGAGAGAGGGCATCTTTGTCTTGTGCCGGTTTACAAAGGGAATGCTTCCAGTTTCTGCCCATTTAGTATGATATTGGCTGTGAGTTTGTCATAAATAGCTTTTATTATTTTGAAATACGTTCCATCAATACCTAGTTTATTGAGAGTTTTTAGCATGAAGGGCTGCTGAATTTTTTTAAAGGCCTTTTCTGCATCTATAGTATTCTCTTTTTTTCTGCATCTATAGCATTGTTTTTTTGTTTTGTTTCGTTTTGTTTTGTTTAGATGGAGTCTCACTCTGTCACCCAGGCTGGAGTGCATTGGCGCTATCTCAGCTCACTGCAACCTCTGCTTCCTGGGTTCAAGCAATTCTCCTGCCTCAGCCTCCCGAGTAGCTGGGATTACAGGTGCCTGCCACCACACTCAGCTAATTACTGTATTTTTAGTAGAGACAGGGTTTCGCCATGTTGGCCAGGCTGGTCTTGAACTCCTGACCTCAGGTGATCCACCCGCCTTGGACCCCCAAAGTGCTGGGATTATAGGCATGAGCGACCATGCCCAGCCTGCTTCAACATTCACTGAGGCACAGTGGGATGAAGTGATGTTGAGTAGATTGCCTAGATGTGGAACTACTGGGCAGTTGTAGGCTCAGCTTTAGCAAATAAAGCTGAACTGTTTTCTAAGAGATTATACCATTTGCACCTCCACCAGCTGTGCAGAAGTGTCTCTGTTGTTCGACATCTTCACCAGCAGTGTAGCTTTTAAAGGTAATGTAGAGGTAGACATCACACCATAGTTTAATTTGAATCTAATAACTTAAGAGGTTGAGCATCATTTCAAATGTTTATTGGCCATTTGGACGTCTCTTTTGTGAAGTACCTAGTCAATTTTTGATTTTTGGTTTGTTTTTCCCCTCATTTTGTTATTGGGTTGTTGTTCTTTTCTTACTGATTTGTAGGAGTTCTTTATATAGTCTAGATCCTAGTTCTTTGTTATATTATGTCTATTAAAATACATTCTCCCATTTTCGGGGCTGACTTTTCACTCTCTTAAAGGTATCTTTTGATTTCTTTAAAAGGTCTTAATTTTAACATAGTCCATTTGATCAATCTTTTCCTTTGTGTCTACCATCTTTGTTTCTCATTTAGAGAAGCCTCTGCTTATTCAAGTTCATGTAGACAATTGTGCTATTCTTCTACAACTTTTGTTTAGATCTGTGATCCTACTGAGATGTATTTAGATCTGCAATCTATTTGAAATTCAGGTTTTTTTTTGCTTGTGGGATTATTTTTGTATGTTGTGCAGAGGGCAAGATGGTTTTCCCATATGGACACTAGCATCTTTGATAGAAGCCTCCATCCTTTCCCAATGCACTGCAGTGTTATCTGTGGGGAAATCAAGTGACTGTTACATACGGGGCTGTTTCTGGACTCTATTCTGTTCCACTGGTCTCATTGTCCATTCTTGAATGCTACCACATTGTTTCAAGAAATCAGATACCTGATAGTCACAAGAGTTTGTATGTGCACGTGTGTGTGTGTGTGTGTACGTCTGTGTGTGTGTGTGTGTTTGGGGTTTTATTTTGTGTGTTGGGCTTTCTGTTTGTTTTTTCAAGACTGTCTTAGGTCTCTGGACCCTTCATTTCCATACAAATTTTAAATCTCCCACTCTATGAATATGACATAGCTCTCAATTTATTTAGATCTTATTTAATTTCTCTCAATAATGTTTTAAAATTTTCTATGTAGAGTTTTGCAAATTTTTAAAAATTTCTTTGTAGGATTTTTATTATTTTGTCACTATTATAAATGGCATCTTTTTAAATTTCAATTTTTAATTGTTAATTGCTGGCATATAGAAATAAAATTAATTTTCATACAAGCCTTGTATTGCCTACATTGTTAATTTCACTTATTCATTCTAATTCTTTTAACTAGAGATTCTTTTGGATTTACTATATATACAATCATGTCATCTGCAAATAATGATAGTCTTATTTATTATATTCATATCTTAATTACTTTTATTGCTATTTTTTTCTTGCCTTATTGCACTGTCTAGAATGTCCAGAACACCACCCAGTAGAGGCAGTGACAGAGGCATTTCTTTCTTGTCATCAATCCCAGGAGGAAAGCTTTCAATATGCCACAATGAAGAATGATTTTGCCAGAGTTATCTTTAAAGGTATTTTTTACTATATTAAGGAACTTGCCACTTATTTCCAGTTTACTGAACGCTTTTGTCATGAATGAGTTATTGAAACTCTATCGAGTGATTTTTCTCCATCTCTTCTTCATTCTGATAATGTGGTGAATTGCACTAATTTCCTAAAGTTATACCAATTTTACAATCCTGGGTAAAAAATTAAAATGATATCGCTTCCTTTTCTGAAAATATTTTGTTTAGGACTTTTTACAACTACCTTCATAAGTGAAATTTACTTGTTGTATTAGTTTGTTTTCACATTGCTAATAAAGACATATCCAAGACTGGATAATTTATAAAGAAAAAGAGGTTTAATGGGCTCACAGTTCCACATGCCTGGGGAGGCCTCACAATCATGGTGGAAGGCAAAGGAGGAGCAAAGGCACACCTTATATGGTGGCAGGCAAGAGAGCGTGTGCAGGGGAACTGCCCTTTATAAAACCATCAGATCTCGTGAGACTTATTCACCATCAGGGAAATAGCAAGGGAAAAACCCATCCCTATAATTCAATTACCTCCTACCGGGTCCCTCCCACAACAGGTGGGGATTATGGGAGCTACAATTCAAGATGACGTTTGGGTGGGGGCACAGCCAAACCATATGACTTGTGATTTTTCTTTCTGTTACTATCCAGTATTTGTATGATGTTTATTCTAATCTCATGGTACTAATTAAGCATATTCTCACTTCTTCTATTTTCTAGAAGACTTTGTGTAATATCTGTCTTATTTCTTCTGAATAACAAATGTTCTGAAGAATTCACCAGAAAAGCCTCTTTGTGAGAAAGATTTTAAGAAAAATTTCACTGTTCATATTTTTGTGTCATTTTCAATGTCTTTCAGAAATTTATTTCATCTAAATTATAAAATTTACTGGCATAAAATTATTCATAATATTTATGAAAATTTTTTTTTGAGACAAGGTTTTGCTCTGTCACCCAGGATAGAATGCAGTGATGCAATCTCAGCTCACTGCAAACTCAACCTCCCAAGCTTAAGTGATCTTCCTACCTCAGCCTACCAAGTACCTGGGACTATAGGCACATGCCCCCACACCTGGCTAATTTTTGTATTTTTGATAGAGATGACGGGGTTGCACCATGTTGCCCAGGCTGGTCTCAAACTCCTGAGCCCAAGCAATCTGCCCACCTCAGCCTCCCAAAGTGCTGGGATCAGAGCATGAGCCACCATGCCCAGCTGTTTATGATCTTTTTGATGGCATTAAAACCTGTAGTTATGTTCCATTCCCAATACTAGCTATGATTCATATATGACTCCATTCCTGATATTGGCCAAACAAGTCACATGGCCATGCTTAGCTTCAAGGAGGCTAAGAAGTACAATTGCCCCATATGCCCAGAAGTAGGGAGAGTCAGCCTTCAGGGAACATAAATAATGTTTCTCATACTTTATTTCCAAGAGCACAAAGGTTATTAGAAGAAGACAGGACTCAAACTCGTGGCCATGCATGAAGCAGGGCACTGCCTCCCAGGGGAGTAAGCAGCTCCTCCAGTTGGACCTGACAACTGCCTTTCCATCCTGCTGAGGAACGCACACCCTGAGCGGGGCACCTGCAGTCCCATGGGCCCTGCCCCAGCCCTGGGCAGGCACAGACTGCTGGACCTAAGCACACAATGACTTTTAGAATAGACAGCTCTTGGAATAGGTTACAGCCTTCTTTATTGTGTTTGAAAAGTAACAATTTTCCCTGGCAAAGTTTTGCATTGAGCAAGTAGGTGTTAAACTTATTATAAGAAAATTACCCTTGGTAATGATCTGAACTTTTAAAAATCCATTTCCCATTTCTGAAATGAGAGCTCAATTTCTCCCCACATTTTATTTGTTTCATGGCACAGATTGGAAATAGTATCAATTTTCTGCCAGCATATTAAAACATGTTTTTATTAACTAGTAATTGCAGTGAGACTTGGAAATCAGGAACAAAATGCTTCTGGAGAATTGAAAATATATATTTCTGATTTCCTTAATAAAAATTATAACTCTACAGTTACTGTAGTTTCTTATGTTTGCCAATCCTGATATAGCAGCTCACAATGGGAATTTTCTCTATTTTTCTACCACATATGAATATTGAGAAGCTCAAGGTCGTACGTAGGTAACTCTGAAGACCACACATTAGCCTTACTATATTGTGCAGTCACTTTGGCAGAGTTTCATAAATAAAGCAGATAGCATAAGATGGTGCTGGCTTATGGAAACCTAATCAGAACATCTCAGTCTGGGAAACACAGTGGAGACGTGGAAAGTCAGATGCACCATATCCGAACACCAGCCTCACCCATATGTGCTGTGGAATCTCAATCTTGGTGGGCACTAGTTGCCATATCTGGATAGTGAGAAGACTGAAGACCAGCTTGCAAATTGCCATCAGGATTAATTGTGAAAAATATAAGTTGAATGCTTAGCAGCATTCCTGGAATGTGGGTGGCACTCCCATGGAGAAACTGAACAACACCTTGACCAGGTGATGAAAATTAACATCACCACTGAGAAACAGACAGGCACCATATGCCTCGAGATGGGCTGCCCTGAGGGGGACACAGCATCGCCTCTCTAGCATTCTGGCCTAGGATACATAACCCAAATCTAGCCATGAGGAAACATTAGGCACCATTCTATTTAAAAAGTTGGGGGGAGAGGGAAAGTGACTACATTCTTCAAAAATACCAAAGTTATAAGAGACAAGGAAAGGCTATGGCAATGTTCCAGATTAAAGGAGAGTAGAATGACAGAGCAGCAAATGCAATACCTGATCCTAGACGGGTTCTCTATAGGAGCAGGAGAAATGCTGTAAAGGACATTACTGGGACAATTGACAACACTGGAATATGGTTAACAGATTAGAAAAAAAGTTACTGAAGTTGTTATTTGCTTGTTCATTTGTTTGTCTGTTTGAGAGGGAGTCTCGCTCTGTCACCCAGGCTGGAGTATAATGGCTCGACCTCAGCTCACTGCAACCTCCACCTCCCGGGTTCAAGCGATTCTCCTGCTTCAGCCTCCCAAGTAGCTGGGATTACAGGCACACACCATCCCGCCTGGCTAATTTTTGTAGTTTTAGTAGAGACGAGGGTTTAACCATGCTGACCAGGCTGGTCTCGAACTCCTGACCTCAGGCGATCCACCCGCCTCGGCCTCCCAAAGTGCTGGGATTACAGGTGTGAGCCACTGTGCCCGGCCTGAAGTTGTTATTTGAACCAAAGAGTGTGTGAGAATGCTTTTTCTTAGGAAATACTTACCAACGTATTTAGTGATAACTAAATGGATATATAGATATAGATAGATATAGATATAGATATAGATATATAGCACAGAGACAGGGAAAGAGAAAACAAGATAAAGCAAATGAACAAAATGTTAATAAAAGGTGAATGTGGGAAAAGAGTATATGAATATTCCATGTTCTATTCTTATTCTTGCAACTTTCCTGTAAGTTTGAAAGTATTTTCAAATAAAAGGTTTTTAAGTGTCTCTAGTGACAATAAAGACACTTATGAAAGATAAGCATGTAAGGAACTTTCATAAAGTTGTTCCATGAAATATGAATGAAAATAAAGTGATATTTACAAATTAATGATTCTATATATTATTTCAAATATGTATATGTAACTAAATGAGTTAATTAAACATTATGAGTAGATATTGACTATCTCTTTCTCACCTTCAAAGTTTTTATATATAAGTTGGCCAAAACTACGTTTTTCTTTCTCTTTTTGATTCACTGAGAAAATGGAAGGTTCGCCATTATTCCGTTACCATATATTCAGCATGTATAAACCACATGTTACAGTGACATCTTCTGGTGGAGTATAATATTGCAGTCTAGTTCTATTACATCTTCAAATAAACTGTACTAAGGTGGTTCCACAGAAGCATGCAGGAAAGGAGCAAGAAGCAAGCATGGGGGCTCCAAGCTTCACCCTTACTTCAAGCAAAACAGTTCAGTTTTTAACGTGGCTTATGCAGGCCTGGAAGCTGCGACAGTAAGACTTGAGTAACTTATGGTCAAGTACAGGTGGATGAGTAAACCTACCAAGAGTGGGCAAAGGTGTTGAAAAGTGCATTTTTTATAAAAAGAGTCATATCATTACCTGCTCTTTCTGAAAAAAAAGTGTTGATCCTTCAAAAGCATTTGACAAATTAATGCTATGAATGAATGCTTAAACGGTGCATGAGTGAAGATCAGCTTCAGGGACTTCAGGAGCACCATTTATTTAGCACTAACCAAGATGCAAACTACAAATAAGTGAGGAGGACTTCACAAACTCTTTTTACACATCCTCAAAAGACTATTGGGCATCTTGATTGTGCCACACAAGATCTAGCAACAATATTAATTTGAATACATGTCTGGCAAGAAAGGAATAATGTTTTCATCAAGAGGCAACCAGGGATGATGTCACAGAAAATGATGGTATACATTGCTTAAAGAATTGATCCCTCCGTTGAAACAATCATAAGCTGTCAAAGACTGAAATAATCAACGTTTTTAAACACTGAGCTCTAATCTCAAATGTACAGCCACAAAGGGGTGGCTTAATAAAGAAAAGGGAAGCTAGCTTTGGTAAGAAAGCCTAGTGGCATTTTTGCTCATCCACCTTCCTTCCATTCCCTAGCACAGCAGCATCAGCCATGATGACAGAAGGCTGCATTCCCTGTGTGGCTTTCTGGTGCCAGGGGTTAATACAGAGTTTATTCTTAAAGTTTTATGGTACTGTGTATTCATCTGTCTGATGGTTCCCTGGAAGACTAAATTGACCTTTTTCTTGACCTTTTCTTTCCACCTGGTGTAGGGAACTGTGCTCAGGCAACTGGCAGACCAAAAGCCAAAAAGAAGGAGCCCAAAAAGGAAGGTTGTTGGAAGAATAAGAGCTCAGAAGGGCTACTGTGTATGCTGGCAAAGATAGAAGATAACACACAGGCCCAGAACAGGACACATATGAGAAAACATCTAAAAGGACCCCAGGCTTGTACCTCTGACAGATCTGTGGGCTCCAGGCAAGCAAGAGGCAAAAGCTAAGGCATAGTTGCAGGAAGCCTGGCTTAGCACTGAAGGAACTCCTGTCCCAGCTCAGAGCCAAGCTGCAAAAGTCAAAACACGAGTATCTTCTCTCTTTCTTGTTTTCTCGTTTCATTCATGTATTTATTTATTTCTCCCTTTCTTTTTTTCTTTCACTCCAGATACTTAAGGAAATCTCTGGAATGTCACTGTTGACCACTGAGATAATGAAACAGAGACTTCAGTGACCACAAATGACAAAGAATCCAGTCTTTGCAAAATTAGTTTGGAGAAATCACTAAAGAAATAGAGGACAACATTCATCAAGAAGAAAAAATAATAACAAACTCTAGGGAATGGAGATAATCTGATTTCCAGGGTAACCACATTGTAATATTCAAAATGCCCAATTTTCAGCAACAACAACAAAAATCACAAGATATACAAAGGAATAGGAAAGTGTGGCCCAATCCTAGAAAAAAATTATATAAACCATCCATGAGGAAACCTTAGTATTGGACTTACTGGACAAAATTTTTATATCAATCATCCTAAAATGTTTAAAGAACTAAAGAAAACCATGAACAACAAACTAAATAAAACCAGGAAAACAGTGCACATACAAAATGAGAAAATCAATAAACAGATATAAATTATAAAATAAACCAAACAGAAATTCTGGAACTGAAAAGTTAAATCACCGAAATGAAAAATTTGGCGAGGCATGGTGGCTCATGCCTATAATCCTAGCATTTTGGGAAGCCGAGGCAAGTGGATCACCTGAGGTCAGGAATTCAAGACCAACTTGGCCAATATGGTGAAACCCATCTCTACCAATAACACAAAAATTAGCTTGGTGTGGTGGTGCACACCTGTAATCCCAGCTACTCGGGAAGCCAAGGCAGGAGAATCACTTAAACCCAGGAGGCAGAGGTTGCAGTGAGCCAAAATCATGCCACCACACTCCTGCCTGGGTGACAGAGCAAGATTCCATCTCAAAAAAATAAAAAAATAAAAAGAAAAAGAAAAGAGAAAGAAAAATTCACCAGAGGGGTTAAACAGCAGATTTGAACACACCGAAAAATGAATCAGAGAAATCAATGATAGGATAATTGGAATTGTCTGATATAAAGAGTAGAAGAAAAAAAGAGAACAAGACACTATCAAGCAGGACAACATATGCAGTATGGAAGTCCCAGAAGGAAAACAGAAAGAAAGGGGCAGAAAGAACTGTTGATGAAATAATGAATGAAAACTGTCTAAGTTTAATGAAATATATTAAACTCCAAGTAGGATAAATTCAAAGAGATCCACACTTAGACACATTACAATCAAACAGTTCAAAGACAAAGATAAAGAGAAACTCTTGTAGTGGCAAGACAGAAGCAACTCATTATGTACAATAGATTCTCAATAAGATTAACTGTAATTTTCCCATCACAAACCATGGAGAACAGAAAGCAGTGAGACAATATTTTTAAACCACCAAAGAAAAGAAAAAAAAACTGTAAACCAAGATTAAATAACCAGAAAAACTAATCTTGAAAAATGAAGAAGTTAAAACATTCCCAACCATCAAAAGCTGAGTGAATTTGTTACTAGCATATCTACCCTACAGGAAATTCTAAAGGGAGTCCTTTACACTGAAATGGAAGGACACTAAACAGTAACACGAAGCGACATAAAGAAATAGAGAGGTTTCTAAACATCAAAGCCAGTATTACATTTTTTTAATTTGTAACTCCTTCTTTATTCCCTAAATAGTGTAAAAGATAAATGCATACCAAATTGAAATCCATGTAAATGGGCCCACAATGTATAAAGATGTAATTTGCAACACCAACAATTTAAGGTGGGGATGGAGCTGTATAGGAGCAGAGTTTTCATATGTTAGTAAGACTGAGTTGGTATCAGTTGAAACTAGATGGTTATAAATTTAGGATGTTCATTGTAATCCTCATTGTAATCATTAAGAAAATATGTTTTTAAAATACACAAAAGGAAATGAGACAGCAAAATGGTTCACTACCAAAAAAAAATTTAAAAAGAAGTTAGTAATAGAGGAAATGAGGAACAAAAAGTATAAGACATAGAGAAAACAGACAGAAAAATGGCAGAAATAAATCCCATTTTATCAGTTACTACTTTAAATGTAAGCAGTTTAAACTCTCCAATCAAATGGTGAATAGTAACAGAAAGGATTCTTTTAAACATAGTCTAACTGTATATTGTCTAAGATATTTTAGATTCAAATATTTAAAAAGTGAAAGTATAGAAAAGATACTCCATGCAAATAGTAACCAAAAGAGAGCTGGGGTAGCTATGTAAAGATCAGACAATACACACTTCAAGTCAAAAGCTATTACAAGGCCGGGTGTGGTGGCTCACACCTGTAATCCCAGCACTTTGGGAGGCCAAGGCAGGCGGATCACGAGGTCAGGAGATCAAGACCATCTGGCTAACATGGTGAAACCCCATCTCTACTAAAAAAATACAAAAAATTAGCCGGGCGTGGTGGCGGGTGCCTGTAGTCCCAGCTATTCAGGAGGCTGAGGCAGAAGAATGGCGTGAACCCGGGAGGTGGAGCTCGCAGTGAGCCGAGATGGCGCCACTGCACTTCAGCCTGGGCAACAGAGTAAGACTTCGTCTCAAAAAAAAAAAAAAAAAAAAAAAGCTGTTACAAGAGGCTGGACATGGTGGTTCACATATGTAATCCTAGCACTTTGGGAGACTGAGGCAGGAGGATCGCTTGAAGCCAGGAGTTCAAGAGCAGACTGAACAACAAAGCAAGACCCCACCTCTACCAAAAAAAGTTTTTTAATTAGCCAAGCATGGTGGCACACACCTATAGTCCTACCTACTTGGGAGGCGTAGTTGGAGGACTGCTTGAGCCCAGGAGTTGGAGGTCACGGTGAGCTATGATTGCACCACTGCACTCCTGCTTGAGCAACAGAGTGAGACTCTGTCTTAAAAAAAAAAAAGAAAAGCTGTTGCAAGAGACAAAAAGAACACTATGTAGTAATTAAAAGACCATCAGAAGATACAATTACAAACATATACACACTAAGCAACACAGTCCCAAATATGTGAAGCATACATTGACAAAATTAAAGGGAAAAGTAGTTCTATAGCTGGAGACTTCAATACCTCATTCTCAACAACGAATCGAACATATAGTCAAAAGATCAATAAGAAAATAGAGGGTTTGCACAACATCACACACCAACTAGACCTAAGAGACATATATAGAAAACTCCACCCCAAAAAGAGCAGAATACACATTTTTCTCAAGTGTGCATGGGACATTCTTTGGGGTAGACCATATATTAGACCACAAAACAAGTCTCAATAAATTTTAAAAATTAAAATTATGTAAAGTATCTTCTCTAACCACAATGGAATAAAGCTAGAAATCAACATCAGAAGGAAACTGAAAAATTTGCAAATATGTAAACATTACATTTAAATAACCAATGGGTCAAAGAAGAAATCACAAAAAAATTAGAAAATATCTTCCTACAAAGGAAAATAAAAACCCAACATATCTAAATTTATGAGATATAGCAAAAGCAGTAATCAGGGCAAAATTTATAGCTGTCAATGCCTACATTTAAAACAAGAGAAAAAATCTCACATTAATAACCTAACTTTACAACTTAAAAAAACTAGAAAAACAAGAGCAAACTAAATTTAAACCTAGCAGGAAGAAGGAAATAATGAAGATTAGAGTGGAGATTTATGAAATACAAAATAGAAAAATAACAGGAAGAATCACAAAACCAAAACATTGTTCTTTGAAAAGATCAACAAAATGACAAAGTTTTAGCTAGACTGACAAAGAAAAAAAGAGAAAGATGCAAAAACCTGAATCAGAAATGAAAGTGGAAACATTACTACAAACCTGACAGAAATTTAAAGGATTATAAGAAAATACTGTAAACAATTATACACCAACAAATTAGATAACCTAGGTGAAATGAAAAAAATTCCCAGAAACACACAAATTACCAAAACTATCTTAGCCTGCCAGGGCTGACATAACAAAGTACCACAGACTAGGTGGCATAAACAACAGAAACTTATTTTCTCACAGTTCTGTAGGCCAGAAGCCCAAGGTCAACGTGTCAGCAGGTTTAGCTTCTTCGGAGGCCCCTCTCCTTGGCTTCCAGACAGCTGACATTTCACTGTGTGCCCACATGGCCTTTTCCTTGTGTGCACACATCCCTGGTGTCTGTTCCTCTTCTTATTAAGGACACCAGTCATATTGGATTAGGGCACCACATTTTTGGCATTATTTAGTCTTAATTAGCTCTTTAAAGGCCCCATTTCCAAATACAGTTACATTGGGGTTCAGGGTCAATATATTAATTGGGAAAAGGACACAGTTTTGTCCATAGCACTGATTTAAGGAGAAATAGAAAATCTAAACAGATATATAACAAGAGATTAAATTAGTATCAAAAGTCTCCCAACAGAGAAAGGCCCAGGACCAGATGGATTCCCTGGTAAATTATACCAAATGTTTAAATAAAAATTAATGCAATTCTTGTCAAAATCTTCCAAAAAATACAAGAAGAGGGGAGACTTCCTAATGTATTCTATGAGGTCAGAATTAACTTATACCAAAGCCAAAGACACAAAAAGAAAAGAAATTACAGATCAATATTTCTAATGAATAGAGATGCAGAATCCTCAACAAAATACTATATATCCAAATGCAACAACATATGAAAAGGATTGTACATGATGGCCAAGTGGGATTTATCCCGGGAATGCAAAGGTGGTTCAATATATGAAAATTAATCAGCGTAATATGCATTTCTAGAACAAAAGGAAACACAATTATCTCAATGCAGAAATGAGCATTTGATGAAATCTAATACCTTTTATGATTAAGAAATAGTCAGAAAACAAGAATAGAAGTAAACTTTCTCAATCTGGTGAAGAATTTTTATGAAAAACTCACAGCTAACAGCATATCCAAGAGACATATTCTGCAGGCATATTCAAAAAGCTAAAAGATTTCCCCCTTAGATCAGGACCTTCAGATCAAGGATGCCTACTTTCACTATTTATTTAACATTGTACTTGAGATGCCAGCCAGAGCAATTAGGCAAGGAAATTTAAAATATCCAAATTGGAGAGGAAAAGGTAAAACTATCTCTATTCAAAGAATACATGATCCTACATAGTAAATCCCAAACAGTCTACACAGAAAGTACTAGAGCTAATCAACAAAGTTGCAGGGTAAAAGATCAACATGCAAAAATCAGTTATGTATCTATATGTCAGCAATAAATAATCTGTAAGGGAAATTAAGAAGTCAATTCTATTTACAATGACATCAAAAATAATAAAATACCCAGGAATAAATTTAACAAAGGATATGAAAGACTTGTGTACTAAAAACTATAAAACACTGCTGAAAGAAATTTAAAAGACCTAAATAAATGGAAAACTATCTCATCTTTCTGGATTGGAGGACTTAACAATGTTTAGATGACAATACTACTCAAAGTGATCTACAAATTCTATGCAATCCCTGTCAAAGTTAATGGTCTGTTTTTCAGAAATGGAGAAGCCAATTCTCAAATTTGCATGGAATTTTAAGAGGCCATGAAAAGCTAAAACAATCTTGAAAAAGAAGAAGAAACTTGGAGTACTCCGCTTGCCATTTTCAAAACTTACTGCAACGCTACAGTAATCAAAACAGTGTAGTGCTAGTATAAGAATAAACATACAGACCAATAGAATAGAACTGAGAGTCCAGAAATAAACCCACTGTCTATGGACAATTGCTTTTCTACAAGGGCATCAAGAACATTCAAAAGAGAAAGGACAGTCTTTCAACAAATGGTGCTGAGAAAACTGGATATCCACATGCCACATGCAAAAGAATGAAATTGGACCCCCTACCTCATACCATATACAAATATTCACTCAGAATAGATCCATGAACCTAAATACAGTAAAAGAGCTAAAACCACTTTTTCAAATCTTAGGATAAAACATAGGGATAAATATTCATGACCTTGAAACATGTTGGAACTAGATAGAGGTAGTGTTGCATAACATTTTAAATGTACAAAATGCCATTGAATTGCTCAGTGTAAAATGGTTAAATTTATGTTATATGGACCTCCCCTCAATAAAAAAGAAATTAAAGAAATGAACAGGACTGAGAGTCAGATTAAAAGTTCCAATTTCTTTTTTGCAATGTTTGATCTTGTGGCGGAATGCCCTTAACCTCTGTCTCACTGAAAAATTAGAGATGAGAGTTCCTGCTCTGTATATGTTACAGGATTCTTAAAAAGGTCAAAAGAAGTGTTGTACTGAAACAGTCCTTTGATACTGCTAGGTGCTCTGCCAACACAAGCTGCCATGGCGATTCCTGCCCAGTCCTGTCAGTGCCGTGCCAGGCGCCTGGGCTGGTGTGTGCATTTGTAGTTTCATTCTCACAGTGTGGGTGTGGTTACAGAGGGGGAAACTGGGAATTGGAGAGGTGGAAGGACCTGCCTCGTGGCACAGGACTGGAGCTCAGATTTCTAATTCCAGACACACAAAGCTCTTTCCACCACAACCTACTGGCCCCTGCAGCAGACTCTCCCAGCTCTTTGCCTTCAGAGTTGCCTGTTTTAGTGGGAATCCTGTGCAAATGGCAGTAATTATTGAAACTTTTCTAAATAACTCTTCTGTCAGCCTCACTCAATCACTTGGTTTCTATCCCTAATTCAGATGCCACTCCCGGTCAAGACCACACTCTCAACAGCCACCAAAGGGCTTGGAAAGAACAAGAAATACCCGCAGCAGCTGCTCCATTATGAGAGATGGTAGTTTGTGCTGAAGAAAAGCCTCCACATGAGCTGGAAAGCTGGCATGCACAGACCACGATGCCCCCAGTCTCCCACCCCCCCACCACCCCTCCACAGCGGGCTGCATACACTGGAAGAGCGGGTGCATAGGAAGAGGAAATTAATAGGCAGTGTGGAAAGGCAGGGGGGTCCCGGGTGGCCACTGTGCCTCTCTATGAACTAAGAGAGTAATAGTAGCAGCAGGTATTTGCTGTGAGCCTTCCTGTTGCAGGCATGGTCCTTAGGAGAGATTCACTATTCTCATAACAACCATACCAGGTGGGACTGTTTCCCCATATTCAGAAACAATGACTGAGACTCTGGTGATGTCCCCCATTCTTGCAACTGACAGGGTCTGGGGTAGGTGCTGGCAGGGAGCTGGGCAGTGAGGGCAACAGGCACATTCCTGCCTCAAGCAGCTGACAGTCTTGTGGGGTTAGGGGCTGGGGAGACCCTGACCTCCTGCAAAGCGCTTGGTGTTGGTATGTTGCCATGATAGGCCTCAGTAAGAGGCAGCCTGGACAAGAACAACTGCACAGAGAACAGGAGGAGAGGTCAGGGGAGCCGGGCGTGGGGTCCCAGGTGGAGGGAAGGAAAGGCAGGAGAGAGCCTGCCAGGGCCCTGCAGGGTGGCAGGAAGACCCAATCTCACCCCTCACTCAGCTGTGCCCTCTGGAGATGAGGTTCCGGGCTGCCAGCCCAGCAGCCGTCCACCTTTCCCAAGCTCAGAGGCCCAGCTGGGCGCTGGGAGCAGGAGTGTTGTCATGCGTGAGGAAACCTCCAGAGGAGAGCATCAGGCACCCAGCCTGGAGGCTTGTGGGACCTCTCTCCTCCCAGCACCAGGACACCTTTCCATACCTGGGGTTCCAGGCCACACTTAGTGACCTCCTTAGGGAGGTCTGTCTCCCAGCAAGTCTGTCTCTCCAAACTGAAACGTCCCTGTCTGAACAACAGAGAGCACCTCCCGTAGGGCACCAGGGGTGAGTAAGGCAGGCTTTGGGGCAGGCGTGGGGGTGACCCTTCCTGTACACTGAGCACAGTCATAACCCCTCTAATCCTTGTGACACCCTGGGAGGTAGCAACTATTAGACATTTGACAGCCTAGGGAACTGAAGCACAGCAAGGTTATGAAGCCTGTGAGGTCACAGAGCCAATGGGTGTGGGGTTGGAGTTCCACCTGCAGACGCTGGCTCTGAGTGCCCACCGACCCCAAATGAGGGCCCACACCTGCCTATCCCTCCACCTGCCTAGGATCTGGACGGCAGATGCCCCACATCTCCTGGTAGAGGTCAAAGAAACAGACACCCTGATGGAGCTGGGCAGAGGACACTGAAGGCAGGGGCGCCACTGAAGATTCCAAGCAGTGGCAGTTGCAGACATGTCACAGGCGCATGGCAGAAAGCACCAGGCTAACCAGGGAGGGGCTGTCAGCGTCTCCTGAAAAGCAGTAGAGATAAGGAAAGGCACAGCCTGAGGCCCGGAGCTGTGAGCTCCGTCTTCACCTAACGGAGGGCTTTCAGGGCTCATCAGGTCCAGAGAACCATTAGGTGGAGCTGCTGATGTCCGAGACGAGAGGATGGAACGTGGTTTTGCCATATTAGACTCCATGCCTCTGTGATTCATGTGATTTCAATTACTCTCTCTGATCTTACTGAACACTCTTTATACATACAATTCATGTCGTCAAAAATCAATGTGTCTGAAGGTATTGAAGTCTTTTAAAATAAAGTCAATATTTCTCACAGACTCCAGTCCCCCAGTGGATAAGTGGTCAGGCTTCCTCAAAGATCACTTTATGCTTACTAATATCACATCAACCAGATGCAGGGTGACCATATAGGGTGATCCAAAAGGGGACACTTTTGAGAGTGAATGGGGGCCCTATTATGATGCTATAACAACAGGCAAAACTGGATGTGGTCTGCCACCTGGGGCATGTGGTCAACCTGGACAGAGAGGACATGAGCAGTGCCACCATCAACCAGATGTGCCCCAGTGGAAAGACATCTGGCTTCTTGCAGAGTGGCATATATTTTCTTGAAGAACAATAGTTTCCAAACACAGGACTATGGTTTTTGTGTCTTCAAATACCTGCCGTATTATGACTAGTTTATGCCATTAAGCTGATGTAAGATGAACAGAAAAGGGTAGTAAAAAGACAGGTTGCAAAGTTTAAACTTTCAGTGTCCTTCATCCAAGGAAGTCCTTTAAATGTGGATTAAGTTATCACTTCGGCAGAATTTAAGTATGTTTTTCAGATTTAGTTACAATTTAGGGCAGAGTTATAAGTACATTTTTAGAAATAATGACAAATCATTCTCAAAATAGATGGTTTAGGCCATGCAGAACAGTCATTTTAATAAAATTTAACCCAAGCATCAAAAATGGGCTAATCTATATTGTTCCATTTCTTTCCATCATTCTTTTATCTGGCTCCCTACAGGGAGCTAATTTAATTTGAAAAGATGGGAGATATTGGCTCCAATGTGTGTTCCCAGGGACATCAGAGCAGAATGAGATCACTCAGAAGGAAACTTCTCTCTCATATCTGTAAATGGTGAGGTCTACAAAGTCTTCTTCTTGAGGAAGCTCTTATAAACCACAGCAGTCTTCAAAATCTGATTTTCATCAAAAACCCTTGGTCAGGATCTAGTTGTATTGTGGGGGAAAAAATCCTGAGCCTGGTGTTTTGTCAGTGTCCTGAGCCAGACACAGTGGCCACAGGTCCCTGCCAAGGGAGAAATCACGAGGTGCGACGAACACCTTGCAAATGTCTGTAGACATCCCACTATTTATTACTGGGAAGAAAATCTCATTTGATACAAGTTGGGAATTTGGACTCTGACCTGAGAAAGGTAGGTTCTCTGATTCAGTAGATAGAAAAAAAAATAGACGCTCTGTCTGGACAGGAGTACAAGCTGGAGGAAAACCCAGCTTGTAGCAGTCATGACACCTGACCTGTGTGAAAACCAGTCCCTTCATGCATTTGATTTCAATTGTCACAGCAGCGCTGTGGTGGAACTGGCAAACTCCCACCAAACCCCTTCCCTTGCTCTGGGCACACAGTATGGAACACACTTCCCGGCAGCCTTTGCAGCCCTGTGACTGCTCCAGGGCTACGCTCCAGCCATGTGACTACGCTCCAGTCGTGGACTGGGAATGAAGTTGACGCATGCTGAGTGAGCTCAGGCAGGTCTTCTACTCTCTCTCTCTTCCACTGTCTGCAGCCACATGTCAATGCCAAGGGTATCCAGGACCGGACCTTGGGGATGGCAGGGACTCTGTCAGCCTGGGTCTGTGAGAAGTGCAGAGAGCACCCTCCACTTCTCACCTCTATGGACTGGGCTTCCCTGAGTAAGGAATTAAATTCTAAGGTGTTAAGTCATGCCACCGAGAAGCTGAGGTTGATCTACTATAGCAGCTAGCTTTATCTTAGCTGATAAAAACAGCACGTGGTTAGGTGGCACTGGGCTGGTGGAGGGAGGGGATGCAAACATGCGTGGCCTGCCTTGAACCTAGGATGCCCCAGGCCTCCTGCCTGCACCTACCATATAGGGGCACGGCCATCCTACTGGAGAGCTATCTGACTCCATTTCACCACCAAGGAAAACATGGCTGAGAGGCCAAGTAATTTGCCTATGATTAAGCAGCTGGCAAGGGTTACAAGCAGGATTTGAATCTGGGTCCACCCAGATCCCAAACTGAATTATCTTATTAAAACAGAGCCCTGGCTGCCCTGGCCCCACACGCAGTGCTACACTCATGTGGCGGCCACATCCTGGTGCTTCTCACCCTCAGTTCAAGAATGAGCAAGATGGAAGTCGTGACCCCAGCAGTTTGTTGGGGTGCTCCTACCTGCTCCCTCCCATCCTGAATCAGGATGTCCTCCCCCAGGATGACTGCACCCTCCCCAGTGAGTAGCAGCTGCTGCAGAGGACCACTCACCCCTCAGACCCACCACACAGCGGCTCAGCCCGCCCCCTACCCCAATGCAGTCTCTGCATCTCCACACCGCCATCCTGCCCTCCCTGCAGCCACTGGCGGGAGCCCCAGGGCAGCGCCCCTGACAGTTGGTATGTCTGCACCAGCCCAGCGTTTCCAGCTTCCCACCAGGGTAGCTGGCTCCCCTGCTGGCAGCCCTGCCTGCTCTCCCTGCTCCTCTCCTTCACCTCCCAGGTAAGTGACTTGTGCTGGCCCTGGGCCTGATGGGCACCAAGCCTGACCTATCTCCCCCCATCCAGGTTCACCTGTTGACATCCCAGCTGCTCAGATCTGTTCAACTTAGTTCAAGAAACATTCCTGAGCCCCTGCTGGTGGCCAGCCCTGGAAACACAGAAGTGGCTCAGAGGGGTCTGTGGCTGCGAACAGCCCAGGGCTAATGGGAGAGGCAGGCCCAGAGAGAAAAGATTCTGACTTAAGGCAGTGAGTGTAGGAATCGTTGTTTTCTCTTAAACTCACCGAGCTCCTGATCTGCGCCACGGTCACACAGGGTCTCCACACACCAGGCAGGAAAACGAAGAAACACACCCTGCCCTCCAGGGCTATGATTTCACTGGGGGACAGCCAGCCACACAACATGTCAGATGGGGTCACTGCTGCAGGACATGCGGGAAATTCAGGAGGAGTCCAGGTGACTACCAGGATTGAGGCCTGAGCAAGCGGAAAGATATAGGCAGCAAGATGCCTTCATATCTGAGTAAGACGCAAAGTGCACAGTCGGGAACTCAGAGGAGAAGAGCCGGGAAGGAAAGTCTCGATGAATTTAAATTTTTTTAAAGTTATAACAAGATTTAAAACACTTATTTTATTACTCAATTCAATTGCTCAGAATTCTCCATGAGCCAGTCTGTGAAACGGAACTTTTACATTTCTCTCTATCCCCGCTGCTACAGAAAGTGCAGGGGCTTCCCTCTTGGAGGTGGGTGGAATGCGCAGCCTCTTCCCTCAGAGGTTTGGAGGCATCACTTCCCTTCTTCCTTGCTTTACCTCTGCCATGGCAGTTTTAGTAACCACCTCTCTGGGTGGCTGCAGGACCATGCTAAGTCCTGATGGAAACATACTAGTTACGCAAGAAATGTTAGCTCCTCCCTCTTCTCTCTCTCTGCACTGTGGGAGACTCCCTAATGCGACTTCTAACAAAAATGTGAGCCTGGCTGAGCGCAGTAGCTCACACCTGTAATCCCAACACTTTGGGAGGCCGAGGCAGGCGGATCACCTGAGGTCAGGAGTTTGAGACCAGCCTGGCCAACATGGCGAAACCCCATCTCTACTAAAAAAATTGCAAAAATTAGCTGGGCGTGGTGGTGCATACCTATAATCCCAGCTAGTCGGGAGGCTGAGGTGGAAGGATCACTTGAACCCAGGAGGTGAGGAGGCGGAGGTTGCAGCGAGTCAAGATCGCGCCACTGCACTCCAGCCTGTGAGACAGAGTGAGACTCCGTCTCAAAAAAAAAAAAAGTGAACCTGAAAGACCCACTGTGTTTGAGGATGAGGCATCCTCCCTGCAATGCCCTGTCCCGTCACCTACTAGACTCAGGATCCACTGATGCACATGGTCTCAGACACCTAGCATATTAGGCTGTGTGTGCTCTCCCATGGGTGGGTGGGGTGCCCCAATCTGGCCCACTGGCTGTGTGCGAGCTGGCTGTGACCGCCTGAGTACCAGTCTGAATGTGTGCTCCCAGGTGTCCCCTCCTCAGGGCCCAGCCTCATTCTAGGCTTATTGAGAATGAGGGCAAGACAGTTCCAGCCCCTGAGGACATCAGGATTGAATAGGACAAGTACACGGAGGACACTCACAGAGACCCCCAGGCTGAGTGAGTGGTGTTCCAGGCCACTCCCTCTTCCTGACCCAATCACCTCCTCCCTGCTTGCTGATGGGACACTGAAGCAGATTGAGAGAGGCCCTTCCTGAGGCTGTGTTGGCACAGGAGCACTCTGCCCCACACAAACACTCACAGCCCCCAGATGTGTCATCAAGGACTGCATTCAGCTGCAAGCAAAAGAAAACCCAACTGACAGTGGTCTCCACATATCCGGGAGAGGGTATCTTAAATGCAGCAAATGCCAAAGGAGGCAGTCCCAGGAGGGTGTTCACCCTGGTTTTACTCCCCCATTCTTTGGCCACAGATGGCTGATACCCTGGCCTCTTGTTTGTCTACCGAGAGAAGGAAGCAAAGAAGGAACATGCCTAGGCCACGAAAGCAAAAGCTTTGCCCAAAACCATCAGATGGTAACTCATCACCAGACTGTGTCACCTGGCAATGTGCAGATGGACCAGAGGCTGAGGAAGGGAGGTTTCTGTCTGGGCACGTTAACACCCAAACAAAATCAGGATTCCATTCTTGAGGAAGAAGGGAGATGGATGTTAGAAGGACAACTAGCCAAGCTAGGAGTTTAAAGGTTTTATGTTATACCAGATGGGTCTGAGAGGGACTGGGAAAATATTGGAGTCTACCCAAAACACCCAGAGAGACCATTAAAGGGGCAGAGGGAAGGTTGTAGATCCGATGTGGGGCCTGCTTGCCCAACACAGTAAGACCGGGTATCCACATGGGTTCTGCCGTGGCAGAAAGGAAGGCATTTATTTGCAAGGCACAAAGCAGGACGACCAGCAGCGAATGTTTAAATTCTGACTTCCCCAATGGCTTGCCCAAAAGGTTTCTAAAGGCAAGGGTAAATCTCACGAAAGCAAAGGTGATAGGCAAAATCTAAGTCAGTACATGGGAGTTACACATTGGTTTTGGCCCAAAAAGACGGGATATCTTAAAACAACGGGCTTACATGTCACAGGTAAATTCAAAGATTTTCTGATTTATAATTAGTTAATGAAAAAGAAGCTTTGTTTACAAATTTGAGGTCATCAGACAAGAATGTTAGCTCTGGCTGGTGGGTGTGACTCCCTCCAGGCCCTTCAAGAAGAAATTTAGAACAAATAATTCAGGTCTAGAATTCAGTCTTCAGGTCCCCCTTCCCAGAGGCCTATGTGCCACAGATCTGTTTGATGGGGGTCCAGATTTCTGAAAAACAACTCTGGGACATATGTTAAGATGGTATCTTTAGTTTCTATAGGGAACCAGGCATCTGACTCTAACTTCCCTGGCGGTTGTTTTAGACTACTCTACTACTATCTTTTTACTCATCAAGTTGCTCATTTACTTCTCAGGGCTAGCTGGGTACCTGGAATTTCCCTTAAAGGAACTCAAGATTTTCCTTTATTTCCATGCTTGGGGGGCCCTAAAATGGGGTCCCTGCTCTGTCCCAGGAAAATGAAAAAATGTGTGGCTTGCTTTTATCCTACCAGGTATAGTCAGTACAACAAAATGGTTAAATAATATTCACTTAGAAACATTTTTCTGGAATCCAGTGAAGATCATCAGGCCGAAAAAATCCCCAAACCAAAAGATATGCCTGAATAGAAGCATGTGGAAACTGCCCCATTTATAGCCCTCGAATTCATTCTTCAATTTTAAGTGTTTTACTTTCACAGCCTTCAAAAGCCACGTTCCCATTTAGAGAAGAAACTCTCTTAAAGGGAGTATTTTTTTTGCCCAAGATCTCTCTCCTGATAAAGTGCCCCAGGGAGATCTTATGCCACTTTTCATCTTTCACAAGAGGTCAAGAAACTCCCAGGAAGAGCTGGCTCTCAACCATGGGCCCACGCTTTCGGTATGTGCAGCCCCCACACGTGTGAACTTGCCTGCTCCCCTGCACCAGGGGTCTCCCCTCCAGAAACAGAAGGGAGGTTTCCCCATCAACCCTGCTTTTAAAAAAAAAGGTGGGGGGCGGGGAATCACTTAGTTGGACCTGACTTTCTTTTCTTTCTTTTTTTTTTTTTTTTGACATGGAGTTTCACTCGTCACCCAGGCTGGAGTGTAATGACAGGATCTCAGCGCACTGCAACCTCTGCCTCCCAGGTTCAAGTGATTCTCCTGTCCCAGCTGCCCAAGTAGCTGGGATTACAGGCACCTGTCACCATGCCCAGCTAATTTTTATATATATTTTTTTTTAGTAGAGATGGGGTTTCACCATGTTGGCCAGGCTGGTCTCGAACTCTTGACCTCAGATGATCCGCCCATCTCGGCCTCCCAAAGTGCTGGGATTACAGGCATGAGCCACCGTGCCCAGCCCCCAGACCTGACTTTCTAAATAAATCATTCCTGTTAGCAGGCCTCAGAACCACGCCATGCACCCAGTCACCCATCTGTTCAAAGTGAAGTGCAAGAGTCCTGAGCACGGCGTCAATGCTCCGCACCTCGAAGCGTCATTCCTAACCCACACAGCCAGGAAAATGAAAATGAGGCTTCTTTCCCCATTGTACCATGAGACGGCTGAAGCTAAGGTCGGTTACCTCATCCAAGGTCATCCAGACAAGCGAAGGGAGGCAACGGTCCACATTCCTTCCACTGCCCCACACACTTCCCTACACATCACGTATGATTTCCTGGGGGGAAACAAAGAAAAATAAAAGAAAATATTGCATCTATCTTATGCTAATAAATGCCCAGTATACCACTGCATCTCCTCCTCTTCATGAATACCCAGTTCCCAATAGTAGCCCCTATTACAGCAGCTCCTAGGTTCTTGTGTCTGGTGAAGCTAGCAAAAATCTTACACACTTAAAAGATGCAGAAGCACAATCCCAAAATTTTCACTGAGAGAAAAATTGAATTTTTAGAGCCAGGTTAGTTTTTTGTTCATTTGCGTTTTGAGACATAGTCTCTACTCCACCCAGGCTAGAGTATGGTGACACAATCTCAGCTAACTGCAACCTCCGCCTCCTGGGCTCAAGCGATCCTCCCACCTAAGCCTTCCAAGCTATCCTCCCACCTAAGCCTTCCAAGCAACTACAGCTATGCACTATCACACCTGGCTAATTTTTTCTTTCTTCTTTTTTGTTTTTTTGTTTTTTTGTAGAGATGGGGCCTACAGGTCATAGGTAGATTAAAAGATTTTCTGATTTGCAATTAGTTAATGAAAAGAAGCTTTGTTTATAAATTTAGGGTCCATCAGGAAAGAATGTTAGCTCTGGCTCACATGTGTGACTCCCTCCAGGCCCTTCAAGAAGAAATTTAGAACAAAGGATGGTAGTCCAGAATTCAGTCTTCAGTTCCCCCTTATCAGAGGTCTATGTGCCACAGATCAGTTCGGTGGGGGTCTGGGTTTCTGAAAAACAACTCAGGAACGTATGTCAAGATGTTAAGTTCAGTTTCTATAGGGGAACCAAGTATCTGACTCTAACTTCCACTTCCTTGGCCTGTTGTTTTAGACTACTATTACCTTCTTGCTTATCAAGCTGCTCATTTACTTCTCAGGGCTAGCTGGGTGCTAGCTTAGGCTAGTCTTGAACTCCTGAGCTCAGGTGATCCACCTGCCTCAGCTTCCCGAAGTGCTGGGATTCCAGGTGTGAGCCACTGCACCCGGCCTAGCCAGGTTTTTTGTTTTTGGGTTTTTGTTTTTGTTTTTTTTTTTTGAGATGGAGTCTCACTCTGTTGCCCAGGCTAGAGTGCAGTGGCATGATCTCTGCTCACTGCAACCTCCACCTCCCGGGTTCAAGCAATTCTCCTGCCTTAGCCTCCCAAGTAGCTGGGACTACAGGCACCCACCACAACGCCCGGCTAATTTTTGTATTTTTAGTAGAGACAGGGCTTTACCATGTTGGCCAGGCTGGTCTTGAACCCCTGACCTCAGGGGATCTGCTCACCTTGGCCTCCCAAAGTGCTGGGATTACAGGCGTGAGCCACCACACCTGCCCACCAGGTTAGTTTTTAATTAATCAGCCCATAATAGAAGAAGGAAAGAACATACCTAAGACAGATTGGCATATTAGTCATTCAGTTCCAATGCTGATACACACATGGCTACACAACCATACACATACATGTGCACACACATCTGACACACACTCACCTACAAACACACACACACATACACATGAGCACATATCTCTAAGGCAATTCATATATTCTAAAATACTCAGAGTAATTGATCATAAAGTGCTATCTATTTATCCATCAACTGTAATCACCATTGTCGTGTCTAAAACCCCCACTGTTTCACCTAAAATGTTAAATACTGCCTTTTGTTTTCTTGCTGTCTCTTTCACCAAGTAAGTTTAATTCCCGCTGGCAAAGGAAAAAGTTACACACACATGCATGCACGCACACACACACACATACACATAGAATTTCTCCAAGAATATTGTTAGGATTATCTCACCTGAGAAGGGAGAGTGAGAATCATGAGAAAGCTGAAAATGTTAAGATTGGATTTATTGTTTTGCGGAAAGGGAGTAGCTGAAACTCCCTAGTAATGAGCAGAAGCTTTGTTTTCGGTTCTGTGATATTAACCTTTATTTCACTAAGATAAAGCTGACAAAATTAGAACCCCTCACTTGCATTACAACTACACGGGGGTGGTGGGTCCATGAGGAGCAGACCCCCTACGTGACCACAGGAGCAGCAGCAGGACAGAGGACCCTCCAGGGTCGCCAACAGGGACATCTTGGCCCAGACATCATGGACAGGGTCCCCCTTGGCTCACCCGACCAGGCAGGTAAGACTGTGGGGCCAGCAAAGCTCGTCACCTCACTCAGGGACAAAGACATCCTGCCCAAGCATGGGAGTTGGAGGTGAGGATGAGTGCCAGGTGCCTTCTTTGCCCCCTGTACCCCTAACAAATAACTTTCTAATGCAAAGACCCAGCCTTAGAGGTGCTCGTCGTGATCAGCACGTGGGGGAGTGTGGGAAGGACTGGGTTAGGACACACACAGACACACACCTAAGGCAACACTGAAAGAGCTCTCCTCCCCACCCCTGAGGCCACAACTGGGGTTCTTGCTGACAGGGGCACCCACAGCATCTAAAAGGAAACCATCGCTGCCTTCTGCTCAGCAAAGATGACCCCATCCTCCCTCCAGAAGGAGAGCGGTTTCTGGAGAGGCCCTCCCAGGACCCTGCCCTTGCTGCACTCAGGTCCCTGGTGTTTGGATTTCTGCTTCCAAATTGTTTAAGCACAGGGCCTCTCATCTTTTCCCCCAAAGTGAAAGAAACCTCAGTGGATGCTTGGAAACCACATCAGGAGGCACAGGCGATTACATGTCCCAGAGCCAACACTTGTACATTCCCAAGCAGAGACCAGCTGCTAGAATGGCTTCTAAAGAGCCTGGTATCCCTGGAGCAACAGAATCCAGTGGCACATAAAAGTAAACCAAAGGCTAGTGTTGGAGGAAGCACACCCACCACTAACAAAGGATGCACAGTGGATCCTTTAAGACGCTTAAAGGACTCTTGGCCTCCAAACCTCACTTCCACAAAAGCTTATTTTTCTTCTCACAAGGTTTGTGTGTCCCTCCCCCAGCGTTTCTAAGACCTGGCTGATGTTTACAGTTCACTGTCATGTGTCTCTCACTTTCATCTGTATGAATTTCCCCAGTGTTAAAGAATCCATTGCGCCCCCCAACCAACTCAAGCACAGAGGTCGTTCCTTCTGGAAAGAGTCCCAATCCCAGCCTTGAGGATGAGGCTGGCATCCTCCCGCTGGCCGGGTCTTCTCCGCGAATTGGGATCTGCCTCCTGGGAGGATGATACCCGTGGCTGCTGCTCTGCGTGGCTCACCTTGGCCAGGAGCTAGATTCCTGCTGGTGGGAAATGCATAGCCTACTTGCTGCACCCAAGCGCCTGGAGCTTTCATTCTGCAGCAGTTTCTTCAGGAAAAAGGTCATCCCTAAAGGTCAAAGGATACCAAGTTTATAACTTGAGTTTATAATGTATTCAAATTTTTTTTTTTTTTTTTTTGAGATGGAGTCTCACTCTGTCACACAGGCTGGAGTGCAGTGGCGCAATCTCCGGTCACTGCAAGCTCTGCTTCCCACGTTCCTGCCATTCTCCTGCCTCAGCCTCCCGAGTAGCTGGGATTACAGGCACCCGTCACCATGCCCGCCTAATTTTTGTATTTTTAGTAAAGACAGGGTTTCACCTTGTTGGCCAGGCTAGTCTCAAACTCCTGACCTCAAGTGATCCCCCAACCTCAGACTCCCAAAGTGCTGGGATTACAGGCGTGAGCCACCATGCCTGGCCTTAAACTTTTTAATTATGAAAATGACACACATGGAAAAGTGCATAAAACATATATTTATAATTCACCCAATAATAGTAAAAGTCATGCCCAACCACACCGAGGTGAAGACCTAGAGCCTGCCAAAGCCAAGGTTCTCTCCCTGACCCCTGCCTCAACCCCCATGGTGCCCACCATCTTGACTTTTACCATAGTCAATTCCTTGCTGTGTTTCATTTGTTCACCTGCATATGCATCCCTACACAACGTACGGTATTCATAACATCTGTAAATTTTTTTTTCTTTTTTTTTTTCTCTGAGATGGAGTCTCCCTTTGTCGCCCAGGCTGGAGTACAGTGGCACGATCTCGGCTCACTACTGCCTCTGCCTCCTGGGTTCAAATGATTCTCCTGCCTCAGCTTCCCGAGTAGCTGGGACTACAGGCATGCACCAACATGCCCGGCTAATTTTTGTATTTTTAGTAGAGATGGGGTTTCACCATATTGGCCAGGATGATCTCGATCTCTTGACCTCATGATCCACCCACCTCGGCCTCCCAAAGTGCTGGGATTACAGGCGTGAGCTGCCGAATAAAATCCTAAGTCCCCTGCCAACTGAATGTACCCCCCTCTTGGGCAAAAGGACCCCAGAAAAACCTTAAAAACTGAGTTCTCAGCCATGATAGGATGGGAGGTCAGACATGCCTCATTATCCCCCCTCCCTTTTACTTGTAGTATACACACAACAACTGACCAGCATTCGTGTTAAAATAGAGGCCGTATGACTGACAGAACAGGCTCTGTGGCAATAAGATGCCACATTATAAACAGGACCCGAGGCCATGTCAGGCGAGGGTTAAGTCCCACACCCCTAAGCTTTAAAGAATAAACTATTTTCTAACTGTCATAAGGTTCTTCTTTTTCTCTAGCAGCAAAACAAGCACTGGCCATGAGATAAACAATGTTAAAGCAATTTGTAGCTCACCATTAGACAATGACTAACTAAGCCCGCTGTTTCATCAGCCATAACTACAGCTTTGATTGGACAAGAAATGGATTTCAATAACTTTCTCCAGATAAGAAAACCAACCACCACAGACTGGTTCTGGCCAGTTTACAGAGGCTGCCTTCAGGTCCTGAAAAGATCTTTTCATGTATAGGGCTTAATTTTAATGGATTTAAATGTTAAGTCTCCTCCCCAGGGTGGATATAGGTCATAGGTTACATACATGTGTGTTCAATACGCATGCATCAGGACCACCTTCATGAATATTCATAGCTCCTCCTGTAAGCTGTTGAATATGTATGTTCAGCCAAACTGTTCAGCACAAAGCTCAGCCCCTCCTCTTTGAAAATGCCTGTCTGTGGGCTTTGCCAGAGGCTACACTTCCCAGCCTGAGGAATGGCCACCTTGTAGACTCTAACCCTTATAAGAAATAAAGTCTCCTCTCAACATTTATAAATTTGTGATTTTTTTTAGTTAACACATTTAAACTCTATTGAATATGAAGTATACAATCATCTTACATACAGATAATGAAAAATGATGCAGTTAAATGAAAAAACACTTTCTTGATTAGAATTTTCATTTTATGCTTATTAAAAAGAAAATTTATGATGTGTGCGCACATCGATTTTATTATATATTATGCTCGTGCATGCATTAAAAAAGAAAAATTAAGCAAAATATTCTGGTTCAAGTAGTCTGAAAATCTCTTCCTAATTGGGATCCACATTCTCCACATCACTTTTGACCCAGATTGTCTGTGTCTGCATTTCCCTTGCTGTATCATTCTCTATGCAAAAAGAGTGCTTGCCATTGAGAATTTCTTACCATAGTGCAGCTCCACTCTTTCTGGGCTTTCTTACAGACCGCTGGCAGTCTTAGCATCATAATTACCACGAAAGTCAAGACCATTTGACTTCATTAGCCAATAGGTAACATCATCTTCAAACTTCCAGAGCCTCATCGGAGCTCATATAGAGGAGCTGCTGGTGCCACTGCTGAGTGTCTGGCTGAGTCCAGCTGCACAGCTGGCCTTTTTGGCAGTTTGAGCCGCTTAAGAATTTTTAATTTCTTTTCGTGTATGTGTGAGGCATCAGCCTGAGTTAGTAAGTTACAAGTGAAGTGATAAGTATTCTTTTTAATAAGCATAAAATGAAAATTTTAATCAAGAAAGTGTCAGTTTCATTGCATCATTTTTCCTTATTGGTACATAAGATAATGGCACACTTCACAATCAATAAGGTTTTAAATGTTAAGGATACAGTATGTTTTTTAGGGACGCATATGCAGTATTTAGGAGTGCACTGTGCTACAGATCGTGAAGGTGAAGATAGCAGGTTGGCAGGGCACGGTGGCTCACACCTGTAATCCCAGCACTTTGGGAGGCCAAGGCCGGCAGATCACGAGGTCAGGAGACTGAGACCATCCTGGCTAACATGGTGAAACCCTGTCTCCACTAAAAATACAAAAACTTAGCTGGGCATGGTGGTGGGCACCTGTAGTCCCAGCTACTCGGGAGGCTGAGGAAGGAGAATGGTGTGAACCTAGGAGGCGGAGCATGCAGTGAGCCGAGATCGCGCCACTGCACTCCAGCCTAGGCAACAGAGCAAGACTCCGTCTCACAAAAAAAAGATAGCAAGTGCCTTTGGAGGTGAGGCAGGGGTGGGAGAAACAGACCCCTGGGCTTCTGTCTAGGTCTTTACCCAGGTGTGGCTGGGTATTCACTTTCACTTACACCATGAGTGATGAGTCAGACATTCAGGCAGGGCACAGCTAGGCAGTTCTCTGGCTCCCAGTGGTATCATCTGAGGTGACTGAGCAGTAATCAGTTGATGGACGAACTGGAGGTTAGATGGGCTCAGGGCTCCCAGAAAGAATATCCTAGCAACAAGCAAGTCAAGAGATTTCACCTGAGTTTTTAACCTTGGTTTCTTCTAAAAGTTCTGTTGTTTTTTTTCAATACTACTATATAACTTTATACACTTTCCTATTCCCCACAAATATTTTCAAGCTTGTCTTGATAAAACATAGTAAGATTTGTTTTATATGCTATATCTGATTATTTCAACATTTAAGTCTTTGAGAATCCATTGTTAATTTTTTTGGGAGGTGGGGTGGTGTTGCTGATTTTCATTCATGGTATCTTACTTCTTTGTACTTGACCATCTTTGACTATGTGCAGTTATTGTACTTGGGAAGTTATTAAAAGAGTAATCTTTGAAGGCCTAGATGAAGGTATCATCCTTCAGAGAAAACTGGAAATACCTCTTAGGACACCATTTCATGTCCCCACAACTTCCACCTAACCCATAATATAATCACCTTCTGCTCTCCTCTCCCTGAAGTCTGGTTCTCTTGTGAGGCCATGTTAATGAGAGCCTTCTCCTTCATCTTGAACACCTTGGGGTCAACAGGTAGAGTTGGCTATTTCCTCACTTGTCAGTGCATAGCTACTGCCATTTTTTAAATTCCTCATTAAAAAAATACTTGTTCCATCTTTATTCACAGCATTCAGCTAAGTAACACCCTACACCTCAGAGATTTCATCTCTTGAGCTATATTGGTACAAGATTTTTGCACCTGGTTCACGACGTTCCTTTGCATCCAATTTCTGTCATCACTCAGAATGACATCAATATGTTTTATTACATCCACTTTAAATTCAACGTGACCATAGATGAGTCCTGCAAATCTGCACCCTCTCCTCCTGTATTTCCAGTAATAGTGAATGTGCGAATGTCTCAGCTACTCACCTAATCACCCAACCCAGAGGCCCAGACACTTTCCTAGACAACTCTGCCTTCCAGTGAGCACCAAGTGCTTCCTTAATATTTTTTCCAACTACATCTGTTCCTGTCCCCACTGCCCCTGCCTACATTCAGCCTCACTAATCCCCAGGCTTGGATGCTGATAAATGACTTGAGTGGCAACTACAAAACAGCTAATGAAGCTCCCCACATCCTCCCACCAGGGCCTCCACAGAGCTGGTATGAACTACAGAAAGGGGCAGTTACTTTCCCCATGACGCTGTCATTCCCATTCGTATTGCAAAGCCTCTATTTTTTAATTTGTCCCACAGCATGACAGACCCCAAACGCACATTTACTACTGGTATAGATACACATATTAAGACCAGTGGTGACTGTTACAGCTCACATAAAAGCTGAGTTCCATTGCTTGGGCTGACTTTATGTGTGGGGGGAATGCAAGCCTCTAGAATCCCATGAGAACTGACTTCTATATTGGGTGCTTTTCTGTCTCCTCCTGTGTCTCTCACATAAGACCCATCAATGAATGCTATTAAGTTAACATGGGAATAAGACTATATGATGAATCAGATGGAGGCCATGCATCTTCATTGAGGGCTGCGAGGTGGTTGTGCTGCTGTCCAGTCAGGATCTGGCAACAGAGTCACTGGGCTCAAAGTTCACACCTTCCTAGAATCCCACTAGGGTCAGCCAGTAACGCTTACAGAGCACTGACAAGTGCTGTGTCATAGGAACTTCAAAAAGCAGCAGCAACAGGCCAGGTGTGGTGGCTCACACCTGTAATCCCAGCACTTTGGGAGGCCAAGGTGGGTGGATCACTTGAGGTCAGGAGTTCAAGACCAGCCTGACCAACGTGGTGAAACCCTGTCTCTACTACAAATACAAAAATTAGCCGGGCATGATGGTGCACACCTGTAATCCTAGCTTGGGAGGCTAAGGCAGAAGAATCGCTTGAACCCGGGAGGTGGAGGTTGCAGTAAGCGCCATTGTACTCCAGCCTGGGCAACAGTTAGACTCTGTCTCAAAAAAAAAAACAAAAAAACACACACACAAAAAAACAAAAAAAAACACACAAAAAAAAACAAAAACAAAAAAAACAAAGCAGCAGCAACAGCACAAGGCCCAAACAATTACATCCCCGAGCCAAGGCCTGCACCTTCCCAAGCAGAGACCCAATGTTGGAATGACTTCTAAACAGCCTGGCATCCCTGGAGCAACAGAATCCAGTGGTACATGAAAGCCAACCAAAGGCTAGTGTTTGAGGAAGCATACCCATCACTAACAGCACCCTTGCTCTCCTTACAGAAAAGGGAGAAGAGATGACCAGCTAGGAACTGACTCCAAGTACAGGCAGGAAAACAATGGCTACTTAAGGATCTGAAGGCTTTTTTAGCTTCTCCTAGCTATTGCAAAAATGCACCTAGCGATGCTTCATGTAGCACCACCATGAGTGGCTTGCCTCTCAGAAGAGACAGGGACCCGTTGCCTGCGATGCACACCAACCTCAAAAGGGTGGAGCTATTTCTTCGCAGTGACAGAGCTGTTGCTACATGGAGCTATTGCTTCATTTGTAAAAGAGGTGGCTTTGGGGACAGAACTATTTCCCATCCATCAGCCAATAACAAATATTCCAAATACTTGACCTCGGTCTAACGATGTTGGAAATTATCTAAAGGAGCTTTATGCCCTTTAGAAGCTAGAATTTTCGTAAAGCTAATATATCTTGTTTTTGTTTTGGGGACAGGGTCTCACTCTGTCACCCATACTAGAGTGCAGTGGTGCGAGCTCGGCTCACTGTAACCTCCACCTCCCAGGCTCAAGTGATCCTCCCACCTCAGCCTCTCAAGTAACTGGGACTACAGGCACCCACCACCAGGCCTGGCTCATTTTTATAAGTTTTTGTAGAGATAGGGTTTCACCATGTTGCCCAAGCTGGTCTCGAACTCTAAGCTCAAGCAATCTGCCCACCTCAGCCTCCCAAAGTGCTGGTTTTGCAGGCATGAGTCACCATGTCTGGCCTAATATATCTTGTTAGCACATGAGGTGTTACCTATCAATAAATCATCCATATATATCCATATATGGACTCCTGAGGTGGGGGAAGTTTCTTTAAGTTCTTTTGTAAATGCCTAGAGATTATAGTTGGCAAATCTCTGAATCCCTGGGGGATGCATTGCCACCAATATGGAAAGCCTTCATAGGTAAACACAAAGAGATACCTTGGTTCCTCTGCTGAAGGTATAGAAAAGAAAGCTCAACATAAGTCTATTACTAAAATTAGTTAGGTCACACAATAGGAGGCTAAGAGGTTGAGTACTACAACTGTCAGACATACCAAAAATATATTTCTATCAGATTTTGTAAAAATATGTAAGCAAGCTAAACTTCTTTGTCAGTTTCCCTTCCTTTTTCATAGGTAATATAGGAAGACTATTACAAGGCAAATGTCCTTTCTTTATGATTCTCTTTCTAGTTCTCTAATTACAGGTTCAATTCCCCGTATTTGAGCTAGGGAGAGGATATAGCTTTACACATGACCATAATTTTTCTTTGGTGTAAGCTACGACAGTAGGGTCAATCAAATGATAGACTTAATGAGTCAATGTGTTTAAGAAAGACTTCAGCAAACAAGGCCTCTTGTCTGACCGAAGATGGCTACACATCCTCCAATTTGCCCAGTGGAAAGGCTCACTCAAGGTGTCCCATCCTTGTCACCAAACTTGTGGGGGCAGAAAGGAAACCAACACCCAAAGGAACATGCCAATTCAAAAAATAGAGAATGATTAGATAATTCTATTATTTAGAAAAAACCTGAATGCATTCAGGTAGTCAGCAAGTGTCTACACAGCTATGGTAGATTTTTAGCTCTATTGTTATGGAATTAAAGCTACAGTTACTATCCCTCATTCCGTTTTTAGTAAACAGCCAGAAGCTATTCAATTTGCATCAGTAGTTACGTTGAGTTTACCCTGATGGCCTGATTTTTATAATTCTTTATCAGGCTTACCCTGATGTTCTGCTATTATCATTCGTTACCACTACCTCCTGTAACCGCCCAAAAGTGTCCCCACACACACGAGGGCATGTTCAGTTTCCCACACTCCACCTCAACAACTGGCACCAGAATCGGCCCAGTTGCTCAAGCCAAAATCTCAGGAGTCATCCTGGTTTTCTCTCTTGCCACCCTGTGGCCCCACATCCAATCCATCAGCAAAAAACAGCTGGGAGCTGGAAAGGCAAGACTCTCTTCCTGTGAGTCCTTCACACCGCCTGCACCTGTCTAAGCCACCATTCCACTCCCTTTCCCACCTACAGCCTGGTGATATCTCCCTTCTCCTCTGCCTTCCCTCTTTGCAGCTCAATCTTTCTTTCCCTAGGTTATCAATTGTATAATAAAGATTATAAAATCACTCTATCCCAATAAATATAGCTTCTATCAGTCTTAATGACTGAAGCACCGCAGAATTCTCGGTTTGGAAGGGGGTTTTGCTGCTTAAAAAGTTTCAAAATCACTGCCAGAGGGAACCAGCAGCCCTTTTGTTGATAGCAGAGCCAGCTCCTCTCGCACGTGAATAAACAACCATAAATGAGACACGGCACATTTGAGCAGTCTTTTAAAATCATTTAAGCTTTAAAAATTATTTAAGACACGTTTGTTTTAAAAAAGCAATTCAAATCAAGCATTTGCAACATACCTACGATACCTCTATGGAGACTTAGCATCTACAAGACCCAGTTTGACAACTGCCAGCGCCAGGGAATAAGTGAAGTTTCTCAGCCCAAGTCACACAAGGCCCTAGCCAACCCACCTCTGCCTGCTCCCTGGGGCTCTCCTCTACCCCAGCCCTCTCTCCCTAAAGCCAGCGAGAGGCTCCGCGATTGTCCCCCCCAAATCCTTTCCCCCTTTTCGGGAATAGCAAGCGAGTCCAAGAGATGAGGTCACGTGATGCCGTCCGACCAATCTGGTGTGAGCAGAGGCCCCCATTCTTCCGGGGAGAGGGGCGGGGGCGGGGCCGGGCCGGGAGCGGAAGGAGCAGGGGTGGACAGAACAGCCTGGGGAGGGGGCGGGGACAGGGCGAAGCAGGGAGGGGAGGGGGCGGGAACAGGGCCAGGTGGGGCGGGCGCGCGTGTGGGGGGGCGGGCGCGCGTGTCGGGGGCGGGCGCGCGTGTGGGGGGGCGGGCGCGCGTGTCGGGGGGCGGGCGCGGGGGCGGGCACAGCAGGCGCAGGGTCTTTCCCACATGCTGGGCTGCAGAGTGAGGAAAACCCATCCCGGAGGAAGCTGGCGGTTAGGCTGGCTGAAGGCATTCTGCATGATGAACACAACAGTTCTCAAAAAAGTAATGATGTCATACCAGAGCAGCAGGAGGGGGTGGTCTGTGACCATGTATGCTTGATAAATTCTGGATTTAAGCAAAGTAGGCCGGCTTCTTTGTCAATAGACGTATTGGGTTATTCCCGGGGGGGCTGCAGCCGGAGCACCTCCCACTCCTTCGCAGGGGTTATTTCTGAAGACCCCCTCTTGGAGGAGCTCTGCTAGGGCCCTGCGTGCACCTGCTGCCCTGGCATCCTGGCCAGCAGCTCCGCCAGGCTCTAGTGTGTATGGCCTGGGCTACCTCCCGGTACTGTCGCCGCAGGCCTTGGGACCCGTTCCCGCCGCGAGGCTCCCGAGGTAGCCCCGGCCTCCGGTTCTTCTCAGATAGCCCCGTCGTCCAGCCCCAGAAGCGGGCACTAATGCCTTCCCTGAACGCTGAAAGTTGTTGAATGGATATGGACAATGATTAGAATCATGTAGAAAACATTAAGTGATGGTCAGTATGTTCTGTTTGGGAAATACTGAAATGTGCAACACAAGCTAGAAATAACAACATGCAGAACAGCACAACTTTGTAAGACCCGCGCTGAAGGAGGCAGCATTTGTGTGAGAGCGCCCGGCGCTGCCCAGAAGAGCTGGAACGCCCAAGGAAGGCCGCTGCTCAGCGCAGGACCCCTGGGCTCCCGGAAACGGGATAGCGTTGCTTATCTTTAAGGTAGGCTTGGGAAATACCTTGTTTCTCCGTAGTTTTGTGGGTGTATATACAGATACTCCTTGACTTACCATGGGGGTTACATCCCAGTAAACCCATCGTAAGTTGAAAATACCATAGTCAAAGATGCATTTAATACACTTGACCTACCAAACATCATAGCTTAGTGTAGCCTGCTTTTAACGTGCTCAGAGTTAGGCAAAATCCTACTTTATAGTTAAGTGTTGAATATCTCATGTCATTTATTGAATACTGTACTGAGAGTGAAAAAGAGAATGGTTGTGTGGGTACTCAAAGTAGAGTTTATATTGAGTGTGTATCACTATCACACCAGTAAGAAGTCAAAACATCATACGTCGAACCATCCTAAATTGGAAATTTGTGTGTGTGTCTGTGTGTGTGTGTGTGTGTGTGTGTGTGTGGTTTTTAACCGATAGGCAAGAGACACTTCCTAATGGCCTGTTTAATGACTCCAAATTACCTTGCGTCTCTTCATTGAGAAGGTGATTTAGTTTTCCCTAGGTGGTGAGGCACTATTTAAAAATTAATTTAAGCAACAACTCCAATAAACATGGGTTCATCTTTCAGTCTCTTATTAATCATATTCCAGAAAGAATTGAAGTTCTCTACCTGAGGCGTTTTGAAATTTTTTTCAATGTGGTTTTATGATAGTTATTTGAAATTACTTGACAGAGAGAAGACCATTTGTTATAGTTTGTGTACCAAGAGAAGTTCCAAGTGTGCCCCTGTTAAATTCCTTGAAAAGTTTTCACCTCTTGGGACAGACACTTAAAAGAAACTGAATTGGGCCCTGGTCAATAATCAATTTAAAAAGCTCTAGTAACTGAGAAAGTAAAATTCCATTTGCTCGTATGCCTGTCTTGCAAAGATCTATCAAAACTCCATGTTCTATTGCCTTTCTTTGGAATGAGAGCTGGAGCAGCTGACAGGGAAATCAATTGGTCCCCACCCTATTAATGCTTAATTAACATCGAGCTTGCTAGCATGTGAGCGCTCCCATAGGAAGGAGGCCTTGTATCAAGAGGAGGGAGCTGTGAGCACTGGCTGCTGGGGGGCTTTTGCAAGCGGCCCCCATGGATGGAGCCCAAAGGTGGAACACAGTTGCCAGTACTTTCTGGCTGACCGTGACCCCTGCAGTGTCAGGATGAGCCATATCACACCACCAGTGTCACACCAGAAGGGCACGAGGCAGCAATTCATGTGTGGTTGCACCTGCCCACCTCCCCGAGGTGGTCAAGGAAGGGGCAACATCAGAGGACCACCACTGTGAAGCCTCTGAGAAGCCATTTTTACTTCCTGCCACTGCAAAGCTCAGAATTGTGAGAGAGCCAGAAAAACTGCTGTCACCGCACACCCCATCAGAAGTGACCATAAGGGTGTTGTCTCTGCTCCAGGACAGGAGGCCCCCACGATGTGGTTGCAATAAGTGGGTGGTCCCTATGGTTGATGGTCCCTAAGTGGTGAGGTACTATTTAAAAATTAGTTAAAGCGATAACTCCAATTAAAGTGGATTCATTTTCAGCCTCTTATTATATTCTTATTGAATACAATTTATTATTTCAATGTGATTCAATATTTCAACAATGGTAGTGTCTCACCAACCACAACATGGTTGAGCCCCTTCTGGAGGGACCTTAAGGGTGTTACCATAACCAGTGTCCCATTCCAGCTGATTGGGCCCCATCCTCAGTCCCTGCTCAAGGAGGCAACACGGCTATTTGTTGCCCAGGAGAAGCAGCTTTGTGCACCTGAGTGGGCATTATCCCCAAAAGTGGCCCATAAAGTCAGCGCCCCTGACCCCCGGCCCCGTGATGGTGAGCTCCTAAGGGCGTGAGACTCTCATGCCACTGGAGGGCTTGAACAGAGGCTTAGCTGAGTGGGCCTTTTCTGTGGCAACAAAGGGCCAGAGAAGGGCCATCAGGCTTGGAGAGGGCTTGCTTACATTAGACAGCTGAGATGAGACCAAAGGAAGTGGGGGGTGCACACAGCCCTGACACTGTGGGCCTTTGCCTGCATGCAGTCTCTGCCCTGCATGGGACAGCAGCTTCCTCCACCTACAATTCCTGCAAGTCTCCCATTCTCATGGGGTGCTTCCTTTGGCTTTTTGCTTTTAGGTTTGTTTTGTTTTGTTTTGTTTTAATTTTAAGAAAAACCTGTTCAGAGCATGGGTTAATTTGCTAAAGCAATCAGGATGATTCCTTCTGAGATTCAGGGTAGAGGGGGTCATAGAAATCATGGGCCGTTCAGAGGCAAGAGGACAGGAAGCGGGCACCATGAGAGATGGAGGGAGGGGCTCATCCTGAACATGTTCCAGCCCCAGCCCACAACATTCCTGCAAAACCCCTCCTGGAATAGGGGCCACCCTGAGCCTCTGTTCCTTGCCCCACATAAGCTCAACCTTTACCAGAAGGACCACCAGATCCACGTTTGCCGGAGGGGGAGACCTACTGTTGGCTTGGACTCCAAGCAGGATGGAGGTCTTCCTGCCAACAATGCCCACGGCACAGAAAGCAGAGATGGCGGGGCCAGGTCATGATGCTGAGGGGACAGAGATCCTACAGTGTTCACTGTGCAGAGGGCATGGAGCTCCAATGAGGACTGGGCCCCTAGAGGCCACGCAGGGGCAGGTGCCAAAGTAAAGAACGCTAAGACATAGGTGGTCCTGCAGTGGGAAGCTGGCATCCAGCACCTCCACCAGGTAGGGTGTGGGGCATGAAAGAACCCAAGGAGCCAATGCAAGGACAAAGTCAATTCCAAACAGGCCACAACTACTCCTCTTGTTCCATGTTCTGATTTCCCAGGAATGGTCCAAGTTAACATCTGTCTTCCCAGTGTGATTTCATTTGCAGAATTGTCCTGGTTAAGATGATTAATCATATGATCTCTCTATTTAAGGGAGATTGGCAGGTTCTTCATAGGGAAGATATTAGTTACTTATTGCTGCCTAAATAATTATCCCAAAATACCACAGCTTAAGTTCAGGCGTGGCTTAGCTGGGCAGCTTAAGTTCAAGGTGCCTCATGAGATCACAGTGACACTATCAGTCTCACTGAAGGCTCAGCTGTGGCAGAGGGTAGGGACCACTTCCACGGGGTACTGCCATGGACTGCTGGACTGAGGGCCTCAGCTTTATACCATGGCAGTGGGCCTCTACACTTTGAGCCACTTTGGTGCCCTAGCACAGTGATCAGGAAGGGAGAGGGAGAACAGGAGAGCCCAAGACAGCCACAGTCTACTTATTACCCAATCTTGGGAGGGACATCCCATCATTTTGCCATATTCCATTCACTGGATGTGAGTCTCTAAGTCCAACCCACACTCAAAGGGAGGAGATTACATGAGGGCCGAGAAGGTGGGGTCATTGGGGGGTGTGTTAGAAACCACCAACCACCGTGAGTAAATGGGCTCTGGGCTCAGAACTTACCCATGGCAGTGCTTTGTGCCATACTGCACTGATCCCCCTTGATGCTTCTCACTCATTTCTGCTCCAGCTCGTTGCTGTTCCTCCTAGAGTTGCAGATTCAAGGGGCCTCACCAGTGACTGTGATGACTGTAAAACCCAGGCTTGTGGGTGCTATCTGGACACCAAGGAGACAGAGGCACATGGCACCACCCAGGACAAGCACTGAAGTTGGACTACCAGGTTCAAATCCCAGCTCCCCACCTTTAACTGTGTGACCGGGCCTTGGGGAAGTTATTTCAATTTTCTCTGCCCCCTGTCTATCAAGCATGGTGGTTGATAACACCTATTTTTCAGAACCACAGTGAGAATTGTGGAGATGCTCTATTTGAGATGTACAGGGTTCTCAGCTTACAGGCAGCACTCAGCGAATGTTAATTATCATTATCCAAAACTGGGATCCCCAGCAGGAGCAGCCCCAGCGCTCCCATGAGGCTTGGTTCGACCTGAATGATTGACACTGCCAAGAGCAACATCACCTTCCCTCTCCAAGCCTGATGGCCCCTTCTCTGGGTCTCCGTCATGACAGAAGTGGCCCAGCCAGCTAACCCTCTGTCCAGGCCCTCCAGTGGCATGAGAGGTCCACTTTCCTGAGATGAGCCTCCAGCCATCTGGAACTAGCCTGTTCCTCCCTCCCTCTGTTCCTGCCCTCCCGAAGCCCACAGTCCCTCAGACCCGCAGTTTGGTCCCAGCTCCCTCACTGCACCCCACCTGATGCCATCTCTCCCAGCCATGCAGAGCAGAGCCCTGATGCCTGACCCAGAGCTGATGTTCCTTTCCGGGATGATATGAAGCATCAGAGAGGATGTTCCAGCCCTGGGGAAGCCCAGCATGATTGGTTCTTCCTCTAACAACATTTACACACTTGACATCATCCACTTAACATTTTATCGGTAAAGGAGCTATGGCAACATGAGCTCACCTGACTGAGAAGGAAACTGATTCCACTTATAAAAGGGAACTTGTAACAGCAACATGTGTTCCAAACCCAGGAGCACCTGGGCCTAAATCCTGCTCTCCTTCTTACTCCAGGCATAAGGAAGCCTGGCTGTTGCCAGCCTCTCACCTGCAGAAGATGCACCTCATAGCACCCTGGACAGGTGAACCAAGACACATCACTGAAGTGCCAATACATGCACCCCTGAGGGCCCAAAGCCAACCTGAGGGCTCTGCCTGCCTGGCTCCCTGCACCCGAGTCCCCAGAAACGTGCTCACAGCACAGGGAGCTCCAGAGCCCAAGCCTCGGAGTGTTGGAAAACAACATCAACATGAGAAATGGGTGCTAGGAGTACCTTTGTAGGTGACATTAAAATGCTTACATTAGATAGCAGAGATGAGACCAAAGAAACTGGGGGGAGGGGGTGCCCCCAGCCCTGACACTGTGGGCCTTTGCCTGTATGCAGCCTTTGCCCTGCAAGGGACAGCAGCTTCCTCTGCCTATAATACCTGCAAGCCTCCCATTCTCATGGAGTGCTTCCTTTTGGCTTTTTGCTTTTAGGTTTCTTTTGTTTGTTTTTAATTTTAAGAATAACCTGTTTGGAGAGCTGGGCATGGGGGCTTGTTCCTATAGTACCAGCTTCTCAGAAGGCTGAGGCAGAAGGATCACTTAAGCCTAAGAGTTTGAGACCAGCTCTCATATAGTGAGACCTTGTCTCTAAAGAAAAGAAAGAAAAAGAACCTGTTTGGACACACAAAATCTAACTTTTCCCCCTCTCTTCCTGATCCCTTTCCAGCAGTGCTTTGGGGCTGAGCAGTAAAATCCAAAAGAGATTCAGTTGGGTAAAATACTAAAATCTAGCCAGGCACAGTGGCTTGCACCTGTAACCCCAGCACTTTGGGAGGCTAAGGCGGGAGGATCACTTGAACCCAGGAGTTTGAGACCAGCCTGGGCAAAATAGTGAGACCGTGTCTCTATAAAAAAATTTAAAAATTAGCAAGGCATGGTAGCATGCACCTGTAGTCCCAGCTACCTGGGAGGCTGAGGTGAGAGGATCGCTTCAGCCTGAGAGGTCAAGGCTGCAGTGAGCTGTGGTTATGCCTCTGCACTCTAGCCTGGGAGACAGAGCAAGACCCCGTCTCAGGAAGAAAAAAAAAAGTCTGCTCTCCCTGCAAATCGCGTGTGCTGGTGATGAGGGAGGCATGTGCAGTTCGTGAAAAAATAGGGTTTCTGATTTTCCACTCCTCAGGTACAGGGTGGGTGGGCCTGGGACTCCTGGTGAAGCCCTCTACAGGCAGGGTCATATCCTACCCTCAGGCTGGTGGGCAGGGCACACTCCACCCTCAGGCTGGTGGGCAGGGCACACTCCACCCTCAGGCTGGTGGGCAGGGTGGCCCTCAGTCTCAGGATGGTGGATGGGGGCAGACCCCCACCATTAGGCAGCGAACATGTGGGAAGACAGAAGAAAGAGGAAGGAAAGGCACTGAACATGTCCACCAGGGTATTGCCCAGGCCAGCATATTTGCAGGGTTAGTTTGTCCCCTCTGTCAGGAGGGGTCTTCAGCCCCTGGGGAAGTAAGGTGCCTAAGCTCTCACAGCTGATAAGTGGCAGTTCTTGCAGATGAGTCTGAGCTAGGTGCTAATGCCTCAGTGCTCATTTTTCCAGGCTCTGCACCACCAAGACCTTACTCAGGTGTGTCCAGGCCAGCATTTCCCAAGGGCATCTAGAGATCACTGTGATCACTGGTTGTTGATGTTCATTTCCCCCACTAGTGTCTAAGCCATATGAAATTCATATTATTTCTCAAATCTGGCTCTCCCACCTACTGCCTGTGTGACTGCGGGGACATCCCAGAGCCTCTCCAAGCCTCTTTTCTTATCTATAAAATGAGATGGTAATAATAACATTGACCTCAGCCGGGCTCGGTGGCTCACGCCTGTAATCCCAGCACTTTGGGAGGCTGAGGAGGTTGGATCACCTGAGATCAGGAGTTCCGAGACCAGTCTGGCCATATGGTGAAACCCCTTTTCTACTAAAAATACAAAAAATTAGCCAGACGTGGTGGCAGGCATCTGTAATCCCAGCTACTCCAGAGGCTGAGGCAGAAGAATCACTTGAACCCGGGAGGCAGAGGTTGCAGTGAGCCAAGGTCGCACCACTGCACTCCAGCCTGGGTGACAAGACTCCATGACCTCACAAGGCTGTTGTGAGCATTAAAGGTCTCCATCCACGTAAAGCACTTATAAAACTGTCAAGCCCATAATAAGTACTCAATAAATGTCAGCTGTTAATATTGTTATCTGAAAATTCTGCCTCTAACCTGAGTTCTTAATTGGGTTTACTTTTAAAGGGATCAAATCTAGTTCTCCTTGAGCACTTCATATACAAAGAATGCAGAATGAAAGGGCCCATGAGAACACGTGGTCAAACCTTTTCCTCTGGAGGACAAAGGTGCTTGACTGAAGCCACACAGCCAGTTGTCCACTCTCTGGGCTCCCAGGAACTTGCAAGCCTTACTGCCTGGAGCATCCTTTCCCTGAGAAGGACACAGGCAGCTCTCTTAGCAGTGTGTAGAATTTATTACTTTTTTGTTTTACTTGGTTTGTTTAGGGTTTATATCTTTTCTCTTCTTACTCCAGACAAAAGTTGCTTGAGAAGGCAGAAAAGAGATGGAGAAAGTTGGGGCCAACCAGTCCGAGCTTCTGCCAGTTCAGTCCCAGGCAGACAGTTGTTGGCCTGGATAGGGAAGCCAGCAGCCATAGAGCCCTCAGAAGCAGCAAGAAGTAAGAGAAGCGTGAGGGCTTCGGGGTTTGGTAGACCTAGGCACAGACCCTCCAGCGCATGTGAGCTGTGTGATTATGGCACCATCCAGAGGCTGCCTGGGGTTTTACTCCCCAGGGTTCCTCATACCCTCTGGCCTGGCTGTTAGCCCCACAACTGAGGAAAGCATTGTCACGGGTACCAGGAGTTAAATTCTTGGCTTTTACATTTTGGAAGTTTAAGCTCAGGGAAGGAACAAGAGATTTGGAAGATATGAGAAAGACTAGAGCAAATTCTCTCTTCTCTCCCTGCAATAGAAATTATTTCCTAAACTGAGGAAAGAGACGAAACCAGAGGAAAAAAAGAAGAGAAAATTTAAGCAATAAGAAAATGTAATTTTTAAAAAATATATGACATTTGTTAGAGATAAAACATGTAAGTGTTGACAAAGAAGAGTCAGACTCTAAAATATTCGAAGAGATTTATTCTGAGCCAAATATGAGTGACCAATGACCTGTGACACAGCCCTCAGGAGATCTGAGAACATGTGTCCAAAGTGGTTGGATTACATCTTGGTTTTATACAATTTAGAGAGACAAAAGACATCAATCAGTACATGTAAGATGTACACTGTTCGGTCCAGAAATGTGGAACAACTCAAAGCAAGGGCTTCCGGGTCATAGGCAGATTTAAAGGTTTTCTGATTGGCAATTGGTTGAGTTATTATCTAAAGACCTGGAATCAATAGAAAGGAATGTCTGTCTTGTGATAAGGGGTTGTGGAGATCAAAGTTTTATCATGCACATGAAGCCACCAGGTAGGAGGCTTCAGAAAGAATAGACTGTAGCTGTTTCTTTCAAATGTTAAAAGCCTGGCCAGGCACGGTGGGTCATGCCCATAATCCTAACACTTTGGGAGGCCAAGGCGGGTGGATCATCTGAGGTCAGGAGTTTGAGACCAGCCTGGCCAGCATGGTGAAACCTCGTCTCTACTAAAAATACAAAACTTAGCCAGGTGTGGTGGTGCACACCTGTAATCCCAACTACTCAGGAGGCTGAGGAAGAAGAATTACCTGAACCCAGGAAGTGGAGGTTGCAGTGAGCAGAGATGGCACCACTGCACTCCAGCCTGTGTGACAGGAACAAGACTCCATCTCAAAAAAAAAAAAAAAAGCATCTGTTTTATCAATCTTAAGATCTCTGTTTTAATGTTAATGCTGGTGAGTTGGGCCTGAATTCCAAAATGGATGAGGGTATAATGAGGCATCTCCAACTCACCATTCCCATCATGGCCTGAACTAGTTTTTCAGGTTAACTTTGGAGTGCCGTTGGCCAAGACAAGGGGTCCACTTAGATGGTTGGGGGTCTTAGAATTTTATTTTTGGTTTATATAAGGTACGTAGGAATTAACCTAAAACATAATATTCAAGACATATATAAAGAAAATTACTAAAAATGGTGAGATAAAATAATGAACTAAATGGAGAACTATACCAAGTTCATGAATAGAAAGACTCACTATTATAGAGGTCAGTCCTGTCCAAACTGAACTATAGATTCCATAAGTCACAATCAAAATTCCAATTGGATTTTGAAGGAATTTGACAAGTTGGTTCTAAAACTTAGAGGAGGAAAAGCCAAAGAATTCATAAAGACTTTTGCACAACCAGGCAGCTACACAGCTTCACGCCACCAGCCATCCCCTCCCCCACTTCCTTCCATGGTAGGCACTCATTCCTTACTCACCTGGATCAGCAGCCTCTCAGGTCACAACACACTCTCAGGCCCCATGCACCTGTCCTTGCAACTATCTCTCCTATGGGGCCCTCCATTGAACATGCCCTCTAAGCCTTGGCTGTGGAGGGTGAAGGATCTCACTTCACTCCATCTCTGGGCAGGCTGTCTGTAGGCCAGGCACACTCATCCTGAAGGAGCTCACAATGTGGGAGCACATCACCACACCTAGAGTAGGGAGGTGAATGGCAAGAGCACAGGCTGAACACAGCCCCAGGAAATGCTCCTGGGGACAGGGCCAGCCCAAGGAGGAGGTTATCCTAAGAGCAGTGGGGGGTCCAGGGAAGGATTTTCAGGAAGGTGGTGATGGGTCAAATGTTTAAAGATGCTAGGCATGGAAGGCTCACTGTCGTCATCAGCAGTAGAAGCAGGCAGGTGTCTGGGACCATGCATAGCCAGTAGGACAGACATGGGCATCTGCAGGCCCTCTGAATGCCCCCTTGGCACCAGGAGATCTGTGGATGAGACCAACAGGCAGCCAGACCCTAGGTAGGCATGCCAAGGCACAGCCCCAGCCCACCCAGGAGGAAGCCCCGGGAGGAGGCTCTTCCCTCCACCTGGACAGAGTGGGTGTGGCTCTGCTACTGTTCTGTTGACAAGCGCCTCTCAAATTTGAAAGGGCAGAGGCTGGAGAAATAAATTATACAGAATATCACCATGTGCTCCCAGATTGGAAGCATTCAGAGGTTGCTAATCATAATAAATTAATGTAAAAAAAAATCTCAGTGGGGTCCTATAGGCTGCTTCAAACACAGCCTTGTCCTCAGTGTGGGTGCCTGAGTTTTCCCGTGGCTGTGACATCCAAGTGATGTTTAGCAATAATATGCAATGTAAGATTTTGTTTATGTAGAGGGAATTTTGTTTCAGAGGCCTGAATACTCCCTTGACCCCACAGCAGGGCCCATGGGGCTCCGTTCACATAGGGTGAAGCCAGCATCCTGTGTGCACAACCAGCAAAACACACTCAGACCTGTGGACAACTCGCCTCCTGATTCCCAGAGACAATTCCAGGAGACCTGGCAGCCCTCCAGGCATGGTTGGTGATGGTGTGCATGGAAGCTTCTGAGCCCATGAAGAGTGATAGAGGGGGGTCTGGCCAATCTGATCCCACACCCAGCTTCAGTGATCAATGAGTGCTTGACCTCTCTGGGTCTGTGACTCTCTGCATTTCAGGGATGTGCCTATGTACCTCCCAGGGCCGTTGTGAGGACTCAATGTCGATGTTGCTGGAAGCAGCTGCCTGAGACATGCTCAGCAAAGGTCCACACTGCCTCCTTCCTTCCACTCCCCACTGCTTTGACACACTTAGCACATCTCGTTCCTCTGAGTGGTCCCAGGAAGATACCCAGAGCTGTGGGGGCTGTTCTTGCAGGGCAGGCTCTGATCCTTGTCATCACTGTCTCCAGAGGAGCTCAAGCACTGGGTGAAGGCTAGGGTGAAGCTGATCTCACCCCATCTCCTCAGTCCTCACACACAAGTCAGTTGGACATGCAGATTCCACAGGCCTGATGTCATCTAACAAGCTGAAGTTTCCCCTGGGATTCAGCAATCCAAGGCTCTTCCTGAACAAAGCCCTCCCATTCAGTCTATAACACTCTGCCTCTGTCCTCTCAAACTTTAGGTCCTTCTCACATTCAAAATACATTCATTTTATCCCGATAGCCCCAAAAGTCTTAGCTTGTTCCAGCATCAATGTCAGGGTCCAAAATCTCATCTAAATGTCATCTAAATCAGATATGGGTGAGACTGAAGGTGCAATTGATCCTGAGGGAAAATTCCTCTTCAGCCATGAACCTGTGAAACGAGACAAGTTATGTGCTTCCAAAATACAATAGTAGGGCAGGCAGAAGATAGACATTCCCATTCCCAAAGGGAAGAAAAGAAAAGAAGGAAGGGTGACAGGTCCCAGGCAAGTCCAAAACCTAGCAAGGCAAGTATCATTAGATCTTAAGGCTCAAGAATCATCTTATTCAGCTGGATTCTCTGCCCTCCAGACCTCCTGGGACAGCAGTCCTGCCTCTGCAGCTCTGCCATTTGGGGATCATGCCTCCCAGACTCTACAGGGTGGCGCCAAGGCTTTGGTCAGAGGCCACCTGGCCTATTCAAACTGAACTGGTGGTGTCCCTGTGATCTCTGAATCACCTTCAGGTTCTGTCTTCCCCTTCCTTGAAGAAGAGTGCACATGCGTAGCCAAATCACTCTATGGTCTGGTCCAGTCAGATCTAAGAATTCTGACAGCCTTCCATCACTTCATCTATTTTTTTCTGCCCCCTTTAGTTCAAATTAGCAGCGTCTCTGCTGGTATAATTCCATCTCTATTCCTGGCTTCCACTGAGATGGCTGAAGAAGTCCATGAGTCACACCCGTGATTTCTTTATCAAATGGCTGTACAGCCACACCTGTAGTGTTTCCTTCAGAACAAGATTTCTCACTTTTTGAAATACAGAGAGACTGAGAACTTCTCAGATATTCAAGTTCTGGTTCTTTTTTGTTTAAGAGTTTCTTCTTCAATTCCTCTCTCTTCTTTTGCATTTTACTATAAGCAGTCAGGAGGAACCAAGCTGCTCCTTCAGCTCTATGCTTAGAAATCTCCTTGGCTAGATATCCAACTCCATCACTCACAAGCTCCGTCTTCTACAAAACACTAGAACACAGTTCAGCCAAGCTCTGTGCCACGTTATAACCAGAATCACTATTCTTCCAATTTGCAATAACATGTTCCTCATTTCCAACTGAGACATCACCAGAATCACCCTAAATGTCCATATTTCTAGCACATACCTCAAAACTCTTCCAGCCTCTACCCATTACCCAGTTCCAAAGACACTTTCACATATCTATGTATTTGTTATAGTCAGGTAGAGTAGAGATTCCCCTTCTTTTTAGGGACCTGTGTACCCCCCAAGCATGAAATAAAGAAAAATCCCAAGGTCCCTTAAAAAAATTTCCAGGCATCTGGCTAGTCCCAGAGGTAATTAAGTCCTTGTTTAAAAAAGGTAATAATAGCCTAAGAACAATAGTCAAGGAAGTTAAAGCTCCAGAAATGTTTGCTTTCCCTATAGAAAGTAAAGATAAAATCTTAACATATGTCCCTAACCTGTCTCTCAGAGGCTGGGACGCCTGCTGAGGACCCCCTCCCCACCTACTAAAGATCCACTGGCACACAGACCCCAGATGAGAGAGAAACTAAGATGAAAGTTTTTAACTATTGTCTTTGTTCCAAGTTTCTTCCTGAGGGGCTGTGAGAAACTCACTCCCCCTAGCAAGTTAACATTTTTCTACTGACCCCCTAAATTTTAAACAAAGCTTCTCTTCCTTACCAATTGCAAATCAGAAGATATTTAAGTCCACCCATGATCTGTGAGCCCCCATTCAAGATGTCTCATCCTTTCAAGCTTAAACCAATGTGTAACCTCTGTGTATTGATTTAGGATTTTGCCTGTAGCTTCTGCTTTCCTGCAACTTACCCCTGCCTGTGAGACATGGGGGAGGCCAGATCTTGAGCATTTAGCTGCCTGGTCCTCCTTGCTTGGTGCTCTGCAGTAAACACCTTCCTTTCTACCACTGCAGAAACCCTGGTATGGGTATTTGGTGTTATTGTGCACAGAGAGTGGCCCCCAGTTTGGTTCTGTAACAATAGTTAGCACCTCACTTCTTAGTCCTGAAATCTGTATTCATCTGCTCAGCTGCCATCACAAAATTCCACAGACCAGGTGGCTCAAACAACAGAAACGTATTTCTTACAGTTTTGGAGGTGTGAGATCAGTGCCACCATGGTGAGACCCTGGTGAGCACTCTTCTTGCCTGCCTTCTCAAAAGCCCTCTGTGACTCTTCTCATAAGGATGCCAATCCCATCACGAGGGCCCCACCCTCAGGACCTCATCTAAACCTAATCACTTCCCAAAGGCCCCAACTCCTCACACCAAACTGGGAGTCAGGGCTTCCGCATGTGAATTTTAAGGAGACACAGCTCAGTCCATAGCCTCTCCCCTGGTGGCTTGGGAGTATACTGTGGCACCAAGGTGACATCCAGCCCAGGCCCTGGAGTGAGGAATCTTGGATCCTCAGTGTGGAGAAAAGCTGATGGGGCCAGACTGCATGCCCCTGCTCCACATCCATCCTCCTCCTGCTGCTGCTGTGCTGGCAGCAACTCAAGGAAGCTTGCATTCCAGGGACACACCTGTGTGAGCTGACTACAAGGAACAAAGCCTTTGTTCAGACTGGAAGATGCTAGGAGCTGTAGTCTGGAGGAGAAAAGCTGACCCCTGCCTTAAGCTGCCTGCATCTCCCTGCAGCCCCACTAGAGCGTCCCGCTCTCAGCCTCAGCCTCAGCCTCAGCCTGGCCCGTGTGGACAGCGCCGCCCACTCTGCCCCTGCCCTGGCCACGTGGAGCCCAAGGACACTGCAGGCCTCCAGCCTCCCCGCCAGCCTGGCCCTCCCATATATCTGCTGGGTCCCTCATCGGGACCCAACTGGCCGCTTCCCTGACTTCAGGTCCTGGGTCCCTTTCTCTATGTTCTTCGTCTGCCTCCTCCTTCCCAAATGAGGTGCCCTCACTGCACCTCAGGGGGAAATGGGGCCAGAGCCTGTGGAGCAGGAAGACCCCTCAGGGTGCTCGGGGCCCTGCTGCTGCCTGCTCCATCCCCAGGATGTCACCTCTGTGGAGAGAAAGATGAGAGAAAAAAGGAGGGATGGGCACGTGGGAGAGGACAAAGGGTCCTGGAAAGGCAGGGATGGAAGGAGGGGAGCCAAGGATTACGTTCAGAAAGAAAGAAGCCCATCTTGGTAGGGGTTCAGCTTCCAGGGAGAGGCAGAGTGGACACCCCCTCCCACGCTGCACCCCAGGGCCTGGAGGAGGTGCTGGAGACCTAAAGAGGTCGGTCAGAGAGCCCAGGTCCCAGGACGCACCAGCTCCACAGTGCGAGGGCCACCTGCCCCGACCTGGGTCTCCTTGGTGGTATGGTTGGTAGACTCTAGCTCGGGGGCAGAAATGCTGTGCCCAGGAGGGACGGGGCCTGAGGCCTCCTTGGCCCCTTTGTCACAGGAGCTTGGCAGGTACCAGGCATTCATGTGACTAATGCGTGAAGGAATGAGTGAATGAAGACAGAAGATTCACAAGAAACCTGCTGGAGAAGGTAGAGCGCTGTCCAGATGCCATCATTCCTTTTTTTCATTTCTGCAATTCTGCCTTGCCTTTTGGGTCCCTTCCATTCAGCACTTGGCCCAATGTCACACCTCTACCCAAGCAGCTTGTCTCCCGAGGTGTTCGGATGCCCTTATGCCCACTCAACCTGCTCCTCCTCAATTCTCTAAGCTGACTGTCAGCAAAACCCAGGGCCCCAGAAACCCAGGCCCCTCCTCTACGGAGCACCTCCTGGGTCTCCATGGGTGCTGCATTCACCGAGAAGGATCAGGCAGGAACACAATTTACCCTTTGCAAGTGTTCCCGTTGGGTTTGCTAGTCACTTTGCAGTATTTCTGCAGGGTGATGATGAGATGCTAGCAGGCTCCCCAGCACTCAACACCACACTCTCAGAAGTACATCCCCATAGGAAACTGGCCCATGGAGGGGACAAATAATAAACCTGCAAAAATGTCCACAGCCCGATCCCCCGAACATTACCATGTGGGGAAAGCCTTCGTAAATGTGATTATGTTAAGGACGTTGAGATGAGGGATTATCCTGGTTTATCCAGGTGGGCCAAGTATGATCTCAAGGGCCAGGGTTGGGGAAGGACAGGTAATGGTGGATGCAGAGGCTGCGGCGATGGGACATCTCGTTAAGGAGTACGGGCAGCCTCCAGAAGCCGCAGGCTCCAGAAAGAACACATCCTGATGGCATGTTGGTTCTACTTTTTAAATTTTGTATTTATTTATTTTTTGGGAGACAGGGTCATACTGTGTCACCCAGGCTGGAATGCAGAGGTGCAAACACAGCTCACTGCCACTTCCACCTCCCAGGCTCAGGCAATATTTACACCTCAGCTTCCCAAGTAGCTGGGACCACAGGCGCGCACCAACACACCCAGCTAATTTTGTTGTTGTTACTGTTTTGTAGAGATGGGGGTCTCACCATGTTGCCCAGGCTGGTATTGAACTACGGGACTTAAGCGATCTTCCCACCTGGGCCTCCCAAAGTGCATAGCCACTGCATCCTGCTGACACATTAATTTTAGCCAAGTCAGATTGATTTCAAATTTCCTGTCTCCAAAACTGTAAAACAGTAAATATGTGGTGTTCTCAGGTGCTGTTGGTGGCGTTTTGTTACAGCAGTTGTAGAAACTGAAAAGAAACACCCCTGCCCCAGCGCTTTTGCTCATTCCTTCACTCAAAATTCTGTTGTTTCACTTTTGTTATACAACCTTTATTCAACAATTGTCAAAAGCCCACCACAGAACATTTTCTAAATTATAAAGGAATACATTAAATCAGTCATACTCATGTCCCAAAGCTGACCACTGGCCATTCTGGGTGTTTCCTTCCAGTCTTTCCTCTTGTCTGTAAGCAGTCTTTTGCTTGCAGTGATACCACCATGTCTTTGTATTGGTCTTTTCCCACTTCACATCAAGGCACGAGCATTTTCCCTCCAGTTAAAGACCACTCTGTCCCATGAGTGGTCACACACCGTCATCAAGCCCGACCCTTAGCCCCCTCTCTGCAACCACTGATAGTCTCAGATGTGCAGCATTCTAAACAGTGCCAGGTGCTTCTGCTGTGGCTTTGTTTGGCTTTCTTACTGCTTCTTAGAACCGATTCCTAAAATCAGAATTACAACATCAAAACTATATAGATGTGAACCAAGTCAGAAAAGCACTTTCCAGCAAGATTGTCCCAGTGACCACCCTAATCACCATGTGTCTCCTTTCACACTTGCCAGAATGGCAGAATGGCTTTCATTAAATTCTAACTGGTGTGACTGCTCCCCATGATTATATCGTTTCTATTTTTCATGCCTGGGGCAGCTGGGAAATGGATAACTCAGACCACAGTGGTTTGCACTCTCTTCTGTGGGCGTTTTCTCAATGCCTTGTGCATGCTAGTTTGTGGGCACCTAAAATTTCAGAGGAAAATGAAAACAGACCCTGATATCAGGGAGCTTTCAAAGCACTTGAAAAGACAAAACTAGACACAAAGAGCAGATATACCACACCCTGGCCCGCCGCCGCCATCTGCCATCACGCCCTTCCTGGCACAAGCATGACAAAAACTCCTCTGCAGAGCCATGCCACATTGAAAACAGCCGACCCTCCCTCAGCACCCTCACCACAAACACAGCCGTCCCTCCCTCACTACCCTCACCCCAAACAGCCCACCCTCCCTGACCCTGACCCCAAACACAGCCAACCCTCCCTCACCACCCTCACCCCAACACAGCCGACCCTCCCTCAGCACCCTCACCCCAAGCACAGCCGACCCTCCCTCAGCACCCTCACCCCAAGCACAGCCGACCCTCCCTCAGCACCCTCACCCCAAGCACAGCCGACCCTCCCTCAGCACCCTCACCCCAAACACAGCCGACCCTCCCTCAGCACCCTCATCCCAAACACAGCCGACCCTCCCCTGGGCATCCTGACCCCAAACACAGCTGACCCTCCCCTGGGCACCCTGACCCCAAACAGAGCCAACCCTCCTCTGAGACCCTTACCCCTGGCAGGATTGACCCCTCCTCTGAGCCCCCTGACCCCGGGAAGGCCTAGCCCCTCCTGTAAGCCCCTGAACCAGGACAGGGCTGACCCTTCCTCTGAGCTCCCTAAACCAGGACAGGACTAACCTCTCCTCTGAGCCCCCTAACCCCTGGCAGGGCTGACCCCTCCTCTGAGCCTTGCTGGAATCCTGTGCCAAGAGGGGCTTGAGTGTGCCAATGAGCCATCCCAGGGCAGTCAGCATTTTACTGTTCTCAGTTCTGAGTATGGTGCATGGGAAAGAACAGGACCTCTGCAAATGATTTTAAAGAATGAATAAAACTGAGTACATATCCAAAGATGGCACAGACTATCAAATATTGAAACTGTGGAAGGAGAGATTGGTGGGGACCAGAGCAGCTGGGTTTAGGAGCTTTGGTGCCAGACAGAGCTGGGCTTGATATCACCTGTGCCATTTGCAAGCTGTGTGATGTGGCTGAGTTCCCAACCGCCTGAGCCTCCATATCCTCATCCATAAAGTACAGGGCTCACAAGACAATGACCTCATGCACTGCTGTGCCCACCACAGCATCCAGTGATCGGCCATGGCATGGGGGCCTGTCTGGGGAGGACAGGGCACACAGAGGAAGGAAGGATGGGTCTCAGGTGGGCTGACACCTGGGAAAAGGGTGGACAATCTGGGGAACAGGTCAGGAGAAGTATAGCTGGACCTCTTTCCCTGGGTTACCAACTTCAAATTCCCAGCATGATCATTGCCCTGCCCTGCACCCCCACCCCACAGCCACACATACTCTCTGACTTCAGAATGCCCTATGACTGGTGCAAGTAACTTTTTATAATTTAACTGCAAATGTCTTCATTAAAAAAAAAAAGCTATTGCATTTGTGTAAGCCAAACTCTAGAGGTACACCTTTGTTTGCACCCCAACAAGGTTAGCATAGGGGGAGCACTGAGTTGGGAAGATAGGGTCATTTTCCTCGCCCTACTTATTGGAAAACCACATGAATGGAACCTCCAGGACACTTGACAGCTTTGCCCCGTTGGCCTCAAGCTCCAGGACTGAAGGGCTGGAGTCAGCTATAGTCCTGTCCCCATCAGCACATGACCTGAGCTCAGCCTTGGGAGTGCTGCATTCCAAGGCCTGTCCAAGGAGGGCTCAGCTTGGGTGGGATAGACCCCTTGTGTTCATGACTGGCCTCGCTGAGGTTTCTGTGAAAAGGGCGAATAGGAGCCCATGTGTTATCACACCCTCATGTTTGTGTACTCCTACTCCTCCCACAGGCCACCAAGGTGACATAAGCAGGTCCTTCTCTCTCCTGCCCTATCAAAGTCCTGGGCCTTCAGACCAGCAGCACTGGTCACACCTGGGAGCTGGTCAGGAATGCAGAATCCCTGATCCCACTCAGATCTGGTGAGTCAGCATCTGCACCTCAACAAGATCCCCAGAGATGGGTGGGCACCTTCGGTCTGATGCCATGCCCATCGCCCACAGCTGGCTCCATGTATCTCTTGGCCCCTTCACACCCCGGAGAGCTATTTTCTGACAACCCACAGCACAACTGCAAGACCTGGTTTCTCCCAGCATGACCATGACCATGACCATGACCATGACCATGCATCACCATGAGCATCGAATCCTCCCTGCCCTCCCAAGATGGCCTCTTCTCAGTGCCATAGGGAGGGGAAAGAGCTTGATGAGTTGGTTGGATTTGCAGCAACTCAGAGGCAGGGGAAATTGACATCAAAAGAGAACAGAGCTGTCAACCGCCTAAGAGATTTTCTTCCAATTCCATTAAAAATGTATTTCATAAAAACAGAGGCCACTTAAATAAATCCATGTCAGGGAATGAGAGATTTTGGAGAGACTCACCCGTGTTTCCACAGGAAAGGGCTCCATCCAAAGGCAGGTTCAACTCCCAGGAGAAGCACCTTAATGGCATTCAGGAAACATTGCATTTCAGGAAACGGAATCCCAGAAATGTCTAACTTCATGACTGCAGGAAATTGGAGGAATGAGGTCTATTTAAAAGATCAGCCTGTGAGATGGAACTCAGAGAAAAGGTGTCCTAGAAATGATGATGGAAACATGGTGTTAGAGAAGTTAAATTAAAACGGAATCACCCTCTGGGCTGTTGTCATCACCTGGGAATTCTCAGTGAATCCTCAGGAACCCTAGAATACTGCAGTGCTATAATTATGGTGTGCAATCCACTCGTATCTAGTATGAAGCCTAAATGACAAGTCTATCAAAACAATAATAGCTTAATAGCAACCATTAAGAGATGGGCAATATAAAAATAATTAAATCAAGACAACCAAAAGTAAAAACATGGATAGGAGGGAGTTAAACTGTAGAGGATTTTTTGGTTTTTTTTAATTTCCATTTTTTGTGATCTAAGATAAGTTGTCATCCCTTTAAAATAACTCTTTATATCTATAAAATGTGTTTTGTAAGCCTCATGGTAACCGCAAAGCAAAAACATGTAATAGATTACTGAAAAAAAAATGAATTAAAACATGCTACCAGAGAAAAATTACTTAGTCACAAAAGGAAGACAGGAAGAAAGGAAGAGAGAAATTACAAAACAACCAGACAACAAGCAGCAAAGTGGCAGTAGTAAATCCTTACTTATCAATGATAGCACTGAATGTAAATGGACTCAGTTCTCTAATTAAGACGCAGAGTTCACACTGGAGAGAAGCCTCCAAATATAAAATTTTTTAAAAGACACAAAATGGCTGAACAAATAAAGAAACAAGATCCAGCTATATGCTGTATAGAAGGAACCCCCCTCTGCTATAAAGACACACACAGACTGGAAGTGAAGGGATAGAAAAATGTAATCCATAAAAGTAGAAACCAGAAAAGAGCAGGAGTAGCTACATTTGTATCAGTTAAAATAGAGTACAAGTCAAAGGCTGTAAGAAGAAACAAAGAAGATCACTATATAATGGTAAAGGGGTCAATTCATCGAGATGATATAATAACTATAAATATCTATGCACCTAACACTAAAGCACCCAATTATATAAACCAAATGCTAATAGATCTAAAGGGAGAGACTGCAATACAGTAGCAGTAGGGGACTTCAGCCTCCCACTCTCAGTAATGGACAGATATCCAGACAGAAAATCAACAAAGAAACATCAGAGTTAAACTACACACTAGACCAAATAAGCCTAACTGACATTCATAGAACATTTTACCCAATTGCTGCAGAATACACATTCTTTTCATCACACATAGAACATTTTCCAGAATGGACCATATTTTAGCCCAGAAAACACATCTATACAAATTCAAAAATCTAGAAATCACATCAAGTATCTTTTTTTTTTTTCCTGAGACAGAGTCTTGCTCTATTGCCCAGGCTGGAGTGCAGTGGCATGATCTCAGCTCACTGCAACCTTCACTTCCCAGGTTCAAGCCATTCTCCTGTGTCAGCCTCCTGAGTAGCTGGGATTACAGACGTGTGCCATCACACCCCAGCCATAGCAAGTATCTTTTTCACCACAGTGGAATAAAACTGGAAATCCATGACCAGAGGAACCTCGGAAAAGACACAAACACATAAAAATAAAAAACATGCTCCTGAATGGCCAATGGGTCAGCAAGGAAATCAAGAGGGAAAGTAAAAAATTTCCGAGGGCCAGGTGCGGTGGCTCATGCCTGTAATCCCAGCACTTTGGGAGGCTGAGGAGGGCGGATCACCTGAGGTCCGGAGTTGGACAAGCCTGGCCAACATGGTGAAACCCCGTTTCTACTAAAAATAGAAAAATTAGCTGGGCATGGTGGCAGGCACCTGTAATCCCAGCTACTCAGGAGGCTGAGGCAGGAGAATCACTTGAACATGGGAGGTGGAGGTTGCAGTGAGCTGAGATTGTGCCATTGCACTCCAGCCTGGGGGACAAGAGCGAGACTTCGTCTCAAAAAAAAAAAAAAAAGAAAAATTTCCAAAAAACAAATCACAATGGAAATACACCAAAATCTGTGGGAGACAGCAAAGCTGTACAAAGAGGGAAATGTATAGCAATAAACACCTACATCAAAAATGTAAACAAGCATCAAATAAGCAACCCAATGATGCACCTCAAGAAACTAGAATCACAAAAACAAACCAAACCCAAAATTAGTAGAAGGAAAGAAATAATAAAGATCAGAGCAGAAATAACTGGAAGTGAAACTTTAAAAATTATAAAAGATCAATGTAATAATGTGAAATATCTATGCAAGAAAAACTATAAAACACTGCTTAAAGAAATTGAATAGGACACAAAAAAGTGGAAAGATATTCCATGATCATGGATTGAAAGAATTAATATTGTTAAAACAACAATATTACCCAAAACAATTTACAGATTCAATGCAATGTCTATCAAAATACCAATGGCATTCTTCACAGAAATATAGAAAGCAATCCTATATTGATAATCCTAAAATCTATATGGAACCACAAAAGACCCTGAATAGCCACAGCAATCCTGAGGGGAAAAAAAAAAAAAAAAAAGCTGGAGGCATCACATTACCTGACTTCAAATTATACTACAAAGCTATAGTAACCAAATCAGCATGGTAGTGGCATTAAAACAGACACAGAAATCAATGGAACAGAATAGAGAACCACTATATAAATCCACACATTTACAGCCAATTCATTTTTTGAAAAAGGCCCTAAGAACATACAGTGAGAAAAGAGCAGTCTCTTCAATAAATGGTGCTGGGAAAACTGGATATCCATATGCAGAAGAATGAAACTAGACTCCTATCTCTCACTACATACAAAAATCAAATCAAAATGGATTAAAGGCTTACATCTGAGACCTGAAACTATGAAACTACTAAAAGAAAATTTTGTAGAAATGCTCCAGGACATTGATCTGGAGCTCAAAAACACAGGCAACAAAAGCAAAAATGGACGAATGGGATTATATCAAGTTAAAAAGCCTCTGTACATCAAAAGAAACAATTAACAAAGTGAAGAGACAACCTACAGAATGGGAGAAAATATTTGCAAACTATCCATCTGACAATGGATTAATAACCAGAATATATAAGTTACTCAACAACAGTAAAAAAAAAAAAAAAAGTAAAAATGGGCAAAAGATCTGAAATAGACATTTCTCAAAAAAAGACATTTGTTTAATGGCCACTACACATATGAAAAAAAAATGCTTGATGTCAGTAATCATCAGAGAAATGCAAACCAAAACCACAATGAGACATCATCTCACCCCAGTTAGAATGGCTTATTATCAAAAAGACAAAAAATAGCATGCTGGCAAGGTTGTGGAGAAAGGAGAACCCTCGTATGCTGTTGTGGGAATGTAAATTAGTACAGCCACTGTGGTAAACAGTATGGCTATTTCTCAAAAAATTAAAAATAGAACTACCATATGATCCAGCAATTCCACTACTGTGTATACATCCAAAAGAAAGGAAATCAATATCTGCACTCCCATGTTTGTTGCAGCACAACTCACAATAGCCAAAACATGTAATCAACCTAAATGTCCATCAATAGGTGAATATGTAAAGAAAATGTGATATATAAACACAATGGAATATTATTCAGTCATTAAAAATAATGAAACCCTGTCATTTGCAGCAACATAGATGGAACTGGAGGTCAGTATGTTAAGTGAACTAAGTCAGGCACAGAAAGACAAATATCACATGTTCTCACCCATATGTGGGAGCTAAAAAAAATAAACAGGGAGGGTCTCATGAAGATGAAGTATATTGGTAGTTATCAGAGGCCAGGAATGGTAGAGGGCAGCAGGGATTAAGTGAGGTTGATTAATGGCTGCAAATATATATTTAGATAAATGAAGTGAGACCTGGTGTTCAATAGATCAGTAAGATGACTATACTTAACACTAATCAATTATACATTTCAAAATAACCAGAAGATAATTTGAATGTTCTTAACATTAAAAAAAGATAAATATTTAAGATGATGAATAGCCCAATTACCCTTATCTGGTTATAGAAATGAATCAAACTATCACATGCACCCCAAAAATATGTACATCTGATGTATCAATAAAAATAAAAGACAGTGTCAGGCAGAGAGGGAGAGAATTCTCCCTTACTCCACACTTTCGTTCTATCTGGAACCTCAAATGATTAGACAAGATCCACCCACATAGGGGAGGCCATCTGCTTTATTCAGTCTATGAATTCAAATTAATCTCATCCAGAATCACCCTCCCAGAATAATGTTTGAGCAAATATCTGGGCACCCCATGGCCTAGTCAAGTTGACATATAAAATTAATCACAGAGACTAAACTGTATTTTCCAACTCTAGACCCCAGAATCATGACTTATAGATCCAGAAATTCTCCAGAATGTCTAGCTCCTCATACACAAGTATAATTAGAGGGATCTTAAACTTGGAATTGTATGAAGACCACACAGGGATTTGCTGGACCATCTGAGCCCACATTCTGGAATAAAAACTATGTATCGCATCATGAGTGAAGCAAACTTAAATCAATTCCGCTGTAAAGATACCCAGTGCAGACCTGGGGCTGTCTCGGTGAGGGTAGAGTGACTTCAGCAGAGAGCCACAGCACAGCAAAGTCCAACCTCACCACTAACAGCAAGGGTGAGGGCATTGGTAAGCTCCTATAACCAGGCCTCCATGGCTGGCTGGAGCACAGCCCTCCTCCTACACCTCTTCCTACTCCCACTGTCACCCCTCATGTGCTCTTGGCTGTGCCCACTGCTGAGTGTGGCATTGTCAGGTAGGAGCTGGCCACATCTAGACATGGAAATACCCTGAGGCAGAGAGGCTGCCCTCTTCCTTGAGACCCTTGCTCAGAGCTAAGTTCTCTTGCTCAAAGCCCCAGCAGCCACCCCAGGTCTCCTTGGCCAGAGTTGATTGCAGGCTGGACCCTAACCCAGCCAGATGCAAGAGGCACTGACCAAGCCACCCAGAGTGGGGCTGGGGCTGGGGATGGGGCAAGACCTGCACAGCATGGAGCTAGGTGAGGAAGTGCAGCCCAGCATCGGTGGTACAAACTAATGCCTGAGTTTCTGCTCACACAGTGAGGACAGCAGAGGGGAGGAGAGGCCACAGGACAGGTGCCCAATGCTGCCAGCAAGAATTGGCTCTGACCAGCTAGGATCAGGCTGTGGCTTGGGCTCACAAGTCTTCTCCTTCACCAGGAAGACGAGCATTTGTGGTATCAACTGAGATACTTCAGGGAAACTGCTGGTTCATGGTAAGCATCCGTGGAGCATGGTTTCAAGATCCTTACTTATGCTGCAGTTTTGAAATGACCAAGAAGGCCTCATTCAAAAAGTGTATGCTGTTGCCCTCATCCCTCCATCATTCCCCTACTTGCTGGCTGAGTCCTGGAAACCCTTTACCAAGAGACAAGGTTTTCCCTAATCTAATAAAGCACGAGGCTGGAAATAGAAATCCCTGCAGTGAGAGCCTGCCGTGGCCACACGCACCCAGAGTAAACCAAGCCGATGACAATATGGCCAGAGCCAGCCCTCAAGGGCCCAGCCTTCCCCACTAACAGGCCTGCTCATGTCCCAGACATGGTGACATCAGACCCTGGCCTGGACACGGATTTGTAACTGGGGGTTAGGGTGGGGCCTAACCGGACACAGGCACAGGAGCACTCCCGGAATCCTAAGGAGGAAGGACAATGTCAGGGGGACTGAGGACCCCCCCTGCCCAGCCCTAGGCAGCTGTTTGTGCACTAGGCAACATGGTGGGCCTTGTCCCTGCCCTGAGCCCTCCCTCCCTGAGGCTGAACTTGGTGTGTCCTTGCCCTAGTGCACCAGTGTCTGCTCCTATCTGTCCTCGCCCCTTCCCTCTGGGACCCACCAGACACATGCGATGTGGCTACAGTCGCCCCCTCCTCCCCATCCCCTCATTCTCTCCCCAGAGCCTGCCTATCACCTGCCCCAGCACCAGGGCCTTGTCTCTGGAAAGGTCTCTGCTGGTTCCTGTGGAAGGGCCAGTCCCGGGCCACGGTCCACGCAATGAGCACTGGACACAGGAGTCTGGGACCAAACCCACCTGCTCCCTGGCAACCCGAATCCTGGGCCTCTCACTCCCACCTAAATCCTCTAAGCCTTGGCTTCTGCTTATGTAAAATGGAGAGTCACAGTCTCTTCCCCCAGGCTCTCGCGTGAAGCTTTCTGAAATAGCAATGGCGATGTGCTTTGTTGGTGCTGGGCACTGCACAGCGCTTGCCACACAGCGGCCCTGGGCTGCTCCCTGACTCACTCACATCCTCCCATTGCCATTGCGGCCTCCGCCTGGAGAGCTGGGCTTCCCGGTCAGTCTCTCTGGACCCTGGGCCCTAATTCTTCTGCATCCTGGTGACCTGTGGGACCTGCTTCCAGCAGAAAACCACCCACAAAGCCCAGGTGCCACAAGCTGGGACTCCCATCACAGCAGCTGCAGGCCACAGTCGGGGGGAGGGGTGGGCAGTGCCCTCTGCAGGCCTGTTCCTCAGGAGAAAGCTGGAGTTGTCATCAGCCCGGTGGGGCGAAGCCAACTTTTCCCCAGGGCTTTGCAGCCAGCGCCTCCTCGTGTCCATTCAGCCATGCCAGCCATGTGCTTCCCCCGGCCCCAGGCACTGCCTCCTCGTTGGTTGAACGAATAAACAAGCAAAGATGGTTCTGGCGTTGGCCTGTGGAGTCAAAGCATCAGGGGCACACTCCCTCCACGGCCTTCCCAGGGCAGCGAGGGTGCCTGGATGCCAAGGCAGGGGCTTGGGTGGATCAGAACCCCTCAGGACCTACTCCTCATCCTCCCCCAGAGGCCTAGGGTTGCGGGGTGAGCCCACCCTCTCCTTTCCATGGGAATCAGAGCAGAAACTTGGGACCTTCCAGAGCAAAGAAGTGTAAGGTGCAGGAGGACGCCAGGTGTCTGCAGCTGGGCCTGCCCCACCGATGACTAACTTAGTTCCTCCAGGCTGCCACAGGGCTCCCTAATCAGCCCAACACAAAAATCAATACACACTCACCAGATCCATTACAGAGACGTGAGGGGGGGACGTGCTTTCACGCCTGCTTTTTGTAAATCAGCATATAATCTTCTGTCATTTTTCTGATTATAAATCTGTATTCATTGCAGAAAATTAGCAAATAGAGGAAAGGATGAAAAAGAAAGAAAAGCTCTCCATAATTTTCCTACCCAGAAAACCACGGTGAGCAACTCAGTACATTTCTTTATTTTTTAAGTGAAATTATATGGAATATTCAGTTTTGTAACCTGATTTTTCAGTTAGTCGTTTATAATACCATATTCCTACTTCCTTAAAAATTCTCAAAACCCAGGAAGCTTTCTTCCAGTCGTTCGCTGCTAGATGTGACGTCGTTTCCCAAGTTGCACCATCATAAACAGCAACACAATGGCAATTCCTACCCCACATCTCTAAAGCGGCCACTGCGGTCATCCCTCCCCACGTACTCCTCCTGGGCATGCAGCCAGGCTGTGTCCCAGCCTCCCTGCAGGTGAGAGTGAGTGACTGAGCTTGGACAGGCCCTGGAAGCCTCCCGCACACTCTTCCCCTTGGAAGCCAATGCTCATAGTGCCAGAGCCTTCATCATCATGGGTCCCTGAACGACCCCATGGAAAAGAGCGGCCCTACAGATCAGGTCCGCAGCCCAGGAGAGCCAGGTGACCAAGAAATGAACTTCTGTTTTATTAAGGCACCACCTGTTTGGGTCTACCTATGACTATGCCACTCTCACCAATCCAGGTACATTCCCAGAACATCTTACCAAACTTTGAGTGTGGCCCATGACCCCCAGCCCCTGAGTGTTAAGAGGCCACTGTAACGACCCTCGTAGGAGGTGCACAATGGGAGTCTGCAGGGAGAATGCTAACTCAGGGCAAAGACAGCGTGGGCCAGTGCCACGTGAGCTCACCTTGATGCTGGGAAGCAGTCCTCAAAGAAAGGCACCCTCCTACCTTCCAGCCGCCTTTGGGCTAGGTCATCAGCGCTCTCACCATCTGCAAGAGAAGACAGACGTGGAGCAAGTGCACAAAGGCAGGACTTGGGTTTCAAGAGGGAAGCACCCCGCATGGGAACACCTGGCAGGGGAAAAATCTACCCCCAGGAAGGGCAAAGCTGGAGGGTCTCCCTGAGGAATTGACCTCCACACTGAAATCTGAAGGATGAGATGACAGAATTAACCTGGTAAAGGGGAGAGAGACTCAGAAGAACTTCCCAGGCAAAAGACAGAATGGCTGAAAATTTCCCCCCAAATAATGGTCTTCTTCCACATTCCCCACCTTAGCAAATGGCCCCATCAGGCAACCAGCACCTCCAAACAAAGAGGCAGGAGCAATTCCACACACTCTCCCACCCCTCCGAGGCCAAAGTCCATCTCTGCGGCCCACCCCCTCCCTGGGTGCCTTCACCCATGGCCCCCAGCCCAGACTCCACCCTCAGCGGAGGGTCCTTTCATGACCACTCTGGTCACAGCATCCCAGCTTCAATCCCTGCATCCAGTCCCCACTCTTCTGAGGGCAAGACCAAAGCCACCACCTCCATGCGACCTCCTGCTTTCTCCACTATGGAAGGTGTATCCAACCCTCCTTGCTCCAGGGACCAGGTCCAGCTAGGGGAGCTGAGATGCTGAGGCTGCCTGCTTGTCTAGCAGAAAGACAGGTCTGTGCTATTTGGTGTACAAGTGCTCAAGATAGAAGCAAGCCCAGGGTCCATGACACCCAGAGGAGAGTTACCTCCTGGGCTCAGGCTGGAATCAGGGATGGCTTCCTGGAGGAGGTGGTACCTTTCCCAAGTCTCAAGTAGCAAGTGGGAGTTACCTGGAAAGAGGAGGAGGAGAATCGGGAAGACGTGAATGGTAGTCCTGAGGCCCCGGCTTTTTCAGAGAAGGCTAACAGGCCCCTGAGGGTGGGAGTCAGGGAAACACTCTAGCTTTCAAAACCACAACCCCCTGAGTCCCTCAGAGGACCATCCAGGCCAGATGTTGCTTCAAAGCTGTCAGAAACTTTGGGTCACCTCAGTTTACACCAGGGTCCCCATGTGAGGGCAATGCTTGCACTGTTTGCCGCTCTCCTGTGCTGTTTGCTGCTAGGCTCAGGGGTCGGCCTTGCTGGGTGTCCTGCGCTCTGGCCCCTGCCTGGATACATGGGTCTTCCTCAGTTTCCCAGGGAATTCTCATTTCACATGAACTCAGTCACTTGCAGGCTGCCCATTCCACGGGAGCCTTGCGTTGAGCTGGCCAGGGCGCTGGGCTGCAGAGGAAACAACTCCTCTCCTGCTGTCATTGCCCTGCCAAGTCCTGTTCACCCTTCCTGACAACAGTGATATTTTTACATTTGCATTCCCGGCCACTGGCCCTGTGTTGTCTGTGAGCATGTATTGAATAAATAAATGAGACCCTAGTGTCACACCAGGAGGCCCCAGCCGGCAGGAGAGCCTGGCATTGCAGGGCTTTGCCACGCTGTGCTTCCCTCCCCCGTGCCTGCCCGAGGGGAAGAGCTTGGGCAGGTTCTGCATCTCCCTAAGCATCATCCTCACTCCTGAGACACCAGAGTGGGCCCATAGTTACTGTGGTTACCCAGGCTGGTGAGCGCCCCCGCCTCCACATGCATCTGTCTTCCCAGGGCCATCCCCAGGGTGGAGGTTCCTGCAACGCCTCAGGACCAAAGTCCCACACTGAGATGGGCCGGTCCAGAGCCTCCTGAATCCCCTGGACTCCCTGTCTCTGCCCTTCTCCTGTCTGTGCCTGGCGTAGGTCCGAGGGATGCAACAGTGGGCAGAGCCCGCAGGAGGGGCCCGCAGGCTGGAAAGACAGTTGGTAAACAAGGAAGTATATCATCTCCTGTCTGGTGGTGATAAACGAGCAGGGTGGAGAGAGACGGAGGCATCTGTAGATCGGTGCTCTCTGACAAGGTGACATTGAGCCAAGATCGGAGCAGAGAGTATGAGAGAATGCAGGGGTGGGAAGTGTTGGTGGACACAGAGCAAGGACAAAGGCCTGGGGGACAGCAGGCGTGTGCCCCCGCATGAGTGACTGAGAAGGGACCACAGTGGCTGGAGATGAGAGGGGCACACTGGGGCAGGAGGCAAAGTGGGGAGGCAGATTTTGGGGGAGGCAGATCCAGGGGGCCAGGGCAGACCTGACCCAAGGGCTTACCCCCACAGACTCTTGGGGCAGAGCGGGAGGCAGAGGAGAGGGTGGACCAGGGGATGCTGGGGGGCAGCTGAGCAGCCAGGGTACAAAATCCATTTGGAAGACAACGGCCTTTGCCTCTAGGAAAGGGGGCTCCCTCAAACGGGGTGAGCCAGAGAGAGGAGCCACCATCTGCACGAGGGCATGAGCCACTCCTTGAAGTGGCCAGTGGACACTCAGCTTCTCCCCCGCATGTGAGAGAGCCTCCCACAAAATCATCACTACCCTTGGTTGCTTGACAAACAAGGCCCAGGTTAACACAAACATGTCTGTTCATCACGTGTGTGCTTTTCCCTGAGCACAGGACATGAATCCACCCCGCCTCCCCGGACAGAGATGGACAGCCGCAAGGATGTTAGCAGGTTAATAATGACAGTCACTTTCCTTCCTCCTAATCACCAGAGCTCATTGCCTCCAGGCAAGTGTGAGAGATGGCAGGACCTGGCCTCTTCGAGACCCCAAAAATGAGTCTTTATCCCCCAAAGAGAAGTGCAAAGCACCACGCTGTGCTTATTATGTGCCCTAAAGTGTGTCTTTCATTTCAGACCCAACAAGCCAGATGGTCACTGGTAATGCTACTTTAACACACATGGAATGCAACCTCAATTTATATCAATTTAAAAAGGTCCTAACTCCTACCGTGTGCAAGAGAGGCAGTTATACAATGCGGTATAATGCAACACAACAGCACAGTACAATGTAGTGCAACACAACAGCACAGTACAACGTAGTACAACACAACACAGTGTAACATAATATAATACAGTGCAGTGCAACATAGCACAACACAGCGAGTACAACATGGTCCAGTGCAACACAGTGCAATGTAATAGCATACAGTGCAGTACTGGAAAACACTACGTAAGCAGGAAGCACACTACAGCACGGCACAGGACAATATACAAGTAATGCGATGCAATCATTATACAGCCTGGAGGGAAAAGGGACATGCATTCAAATTCTGTGACTTTGGGCAAGCACCTTCCTCTCTCTCATCCTCAATTTATTCATGTGGAAAATGAGAAAACAGTCCCCTTCACAGGTTTGTGGCAGAAATGGGATGAAATCACTGGTAAAGCTCCAGCCCCCAGCACATTCACCACCATGCCCCACCCCAGGTAAGCATGCACAGAGAGCAGTGTGGGCGCCTGAAGAGGGTCAGGGTCAGAGGAGTCCAAGTCAGACCACGAAGGACACCTGGGAGGCCAGGGAGGAGGCCAGAGGGGCGCAGCAGGACCACCCAGCTGCAGCAGCAGCTGCAGGTGTTCAGGTGAGCGGCTCCTACTCCCTCGGTGTCAAGTGGCTGGAACCGCCTCCTTGAGCTCTCCAGCAACCCTAGAAGGAACACACAGGTGATCAAGCTGCGACAGCTCAGAGCAGTGGCTCAGCGCCTTGGCCTCATGGCCCCAAGTGAAGCCTGAGTGCAGCCCGGTGCCTTGAGGAAACCTGCCGTGCCCAGCAGCAGCCTCCTCTCTGCTCCTCGGGGAGGGCCAGCTGCGGGCAGCACTCACACCCAGAGCCATCTGGCTCTGCTGAACTCCCAGCTGCTCTCACATGGGGTCACCCGGCCTGATACCCAGCCACCTCCAGCCCCTGCCTCACCTCTGTGAGATGAAGATGGTGAAGGCCCGGTGCCCACTGAGGAGTGCCAGAGGTGCCCTGGGGGAGCCTCGCAGCAGCCAGATGAAGCTTGACCACCCATCTCCAGAGCTCAGCCTGGCCCTCCGCAACCCCCACCAGGCTCAGCGAGCCCCTCCCCACGGCTAGCCTTGGCCCCTCGGCCTGCTCACGCTCCACCCTGGCTGTCTGTACTTGTCCAGGGCAGGACCATTTGCCACAGTGGAAAGGATTTTCAGAGGCAAGCCGCCATCCTTCAACAATATTTATGAGGTTGTCACAAGGTGATACAGAAATATTCACAAATATAAAAAGCCCTGCCTCCTGATACCTATATTTTACAGTAAGCTCTGGATGCAGACGGTTTTGGTTACACAGAAAAATGATTCTGATATGATTATTAAACTCATTAAACAACTTTTTCCACATTTTTCCACAGATGGGGCCTCAAAGTTCCTCCAAAGAAGGGTTCTCTACAATGTTCAAATCCCCTCCCCACTGTCCACCCCCACCCCATGAGGGTCCTCCCAAAGCCCACTCCACTGTGGGGTTGCAGGACAGGAAGGGTGAGAGATGGCGGAGAAGCGGGAACTCCAGCCTGGGCCAGCCAGAGCCCGAGATGCTGAGCTTCAGATTCTTGCCCTCAGGGCAACGTGGCCCAGGAGGCACATGGAGTGTGGCCAGGAGAAGGGACACCATGCCAAAAAGCAGGCTACAGCCTTCCCGGGGTCCACAGTGTTCCCAGGTGCTTTTAGCTGTGGACTCCTTTTCCAAATGAAGTCTGAAAAGGAAACACCCCATATCAAACAGGTGAAAGCAGCACGGGCCTGGATGACGTGGGCGTGGAAGGCTCAGAGCCCTGACTGCCCTCCTGCCAGTCTGGGGACCCCTAAGGCACAGCCTGCAAGTTCCGCACAGAGAATCCTTCTCCGGCTCCTGAGACCAGGCCCACAGGCATTGTCTGACGCTCTGTGAATTGTGCAGCAGGGTAAGGCCTTTCCAGGAGTGACAGGCGAGACCCCTGAGGGGTGTTGTAGGTGGCACAGTCCACAGGGCCCCACCAGACCAACTGCTCAGCTCCTCAGCTTTCACTCCTTGGATACCATAGCAGGTCTGGACCCACGGGGCCTTGGGACCCCCCATGGGGGTGACGTCTTTCCAGCTCAGAGGCACCCCAAGCCCACCTGTGCCACTGAGGCCCACCAGCACCACAGGGACAAACTGGGAGTCCTATGCCTTGACCAAAGGGGTATGATCTAAGGATTACAAAGGCAAAAATCCCCTCTCCCATCACCATGTCATAATCTCTGGATCCAGCGTAGCTTCTTTCTGTCTCTAATGCTCATCATCACAACTCATCGCATGGTGGGCAGGGACAGGTGGCCAGGGACAGAGGAGGCAGTGCTGCCGTGGGATGGAGAGGTCTCAGTCTCAGGGGCTCCTGGCCCCAGGTGACACAGGCACTGCTCAGGAAGGGGGCCTCTCCTGCCCCCTGAAGTCCTCCCTCAGGTGTGATCTCAGTCTCAGTTATCACAGCCAAACACATGCAAACAAACCTCATGCAAAGATGAAGAGAAACAAGAAACCTGGGGAGGCAGGAGCCTGTGGCCTTGCCAGGGCCTGTTTAATGTGCCTCAGGCAAGCAATGGGAAGCCATGGCTGTCCCAGGCCTGGCCCTGTGGAGATGCCCACTGGAGACGCCCCGTCCTGATGCCACCGCTGAGGCAGGCCCCCTCAATTGCCCGGGAATCCCAGACCACATATACCCTCCTTCCTTTGGTTGGAAGGAAACTCCAACTCCACAGGGCAGGTCCTGGGCTGTGCATGGCATGTGCGGCCCCACCCCTGCACTGACGCTGGGGTCACCTTATGTTCCCTTTGCCCGCATGTGGTGTCTGTCTGTCCATTGAGTGAGAAGCACCCCCCTACAGGGTGCCTTGGATCCAAGGCATGAGGTCAGTCAGGACCCTGTAGCTGAGCACTGGGAGGAAGTGTGGCATGGGCTGGAGCCCTGGCTGGGGCCCTGTACTCACAGGTCCTGAGAGGACTGGGAAGGAAGCCCCGAAGGCCCCACTTGTTGTGCTGGGCTGGGTTCTGCCCCCAGGAAGATCTGAAGGGCCAGGAAAGAAGGGACTGGGCTTGCTCTGTGGCAGGACCAATCCTAACAAGTAAGGCGGTGGGAGAATCCCTGCAGGAGATGGACCAGTATCCCCAGGAGCAGAGGGAGTCCCACTGGAAGTGTTCAAGCAGAGGGGTCTCCCACAGTGGGATCTGTCTTCCCTCTGCCAGCGAGGCAACTGGAATCCGAACAGGGTGCCCCTTGTCCAACCTTGCAGTAAGTCGTGGCAACTGGAATCAGAACAGGGTGTCACTTGTCCACACCTTGCAGCAAGTTGTGGTCTCTGGCCATCACCCAGCCCTCCCCTGGACAGCACGCGGCATGGCTGGGGTCTGCGGTGGACAGACCTGGCCTCCATGGTACTGCCTGGGCAGTCACCAGCTTCTCATAGCCTCCTGCCCCATCCAGAAAAAGCATAGGGGCCAGTGTGAGGATAACTCGGGGATGTCTGTCATGCCCCATTGCTGTGCCTGGAATACAGGGGAAGCTGAGAAGACCTCAATCTTCTTTTCTGACCCCCACCGCAGCCGGGTCATTGAGGATCACTCCCCTTCCCAGGCCCCAGCCTCCCTGCCGGAGCTCCCACTCTCTGGGCACACCCAGCATTCAGCGTCCCCACAGGAAACAGAATTCATCCTGGTTGGCTCAAGTGAAAGGCTGACACTGAGGCATGAGTGGACCCTGGGGGGCCAGCCACAGTGGGGGCCTCTTACCACCCTCTTACCACGTTACCTTACCACCCGGGGAGGGTCCGGGCAAGTAGCACCAAGAAACGGAGCCCAGCAGGAAGCGGGCAGGGAAGGAATGCCCATCCTCAACCCCTGCCTGTGCCTCCCACCGGCCAGACCTAGCAGGAAGCCAATGGGCAAGGGAGCCCCAGGGCGTGTGCAGAGGGTCTCTCCCTAGGGCAGGGCAGGGCAAGGGAGGAGAGAAGCAGGGCAAAGGGGACAGCCCAGCATCCCACAAAGAGCAGCATGGAGGAGGCAGGGACCTCGGCCCTGCAACCAAGACTGCAGGGCAACCTGAATGAGCTTCAAAGCATATTCATCCCCAGAGCCTGCAGACGCAAACTCAGGCAGCACCCTGATTTCAGCCTGGCGAGACTGAGCAGAGAGCGCAGATGCATTACATCATCATCCCTCTCACCTATGGAGCGGCGCACTGACAGGCCGCACTGTCCCAGCCTCTACGTTTGTGGTCAAAGAGCAGCACCTTCCTGAGGCCTGAGGCCTAGCGGGCACGTGAGGTTCGCCACATCATTGTTTCAGGTCAGTCCCGCTGATGGAGGGTCACTAACTCCTTCTTACAGGAAGTTAAACTGAAGCAGAGTGGGACAACGACCTACCCCGGGCTCAGTCACCCCAGCCAGGCCAGTCCTGTCTGCAGGAAAGGGACAGCACCACAGACAGCAGGGCGCCTTCTCCAAAGGGCACAGTACAGCCCAGGACACATGTAGGGCGGGCCCAGGGTGAGGGCACAGAGGAGGGGCTGAGGGATGCGCAGGCTGTGCTGGTGGGAAGGGGGCACAGCTGGGCAGGATGCAGCAGGAGTCCGGAGAGCTGGGCGGCAAGAGCAGGAGCGGAGGCCCCGACACCGCAGAGGAGACTTGGCGAGGCAGCACCTGGGGTCTCTCCCAAACAAGGCCGAGTCCACTTGTGTGCCCAGAGTTCAGTGGAGTTTTGTTCAGTTGCTCATCAAATAAAGTGTGATCTATTTCCACGGGGAAGGAATCAAGTACCGGATAAAGGTCGTTTCCATGCAGTGCCCCTGTTGCCACACGTCCATGTGGCTGTGTGGGTGTCTGGGTGTGTGCCATGCAGGAAATCTGAGCATGGGTTTGATCATAGGGGTATATGTGTCTCCGTGTGGGCATGTGTGCACATGGATTCATACATGTGTGTTGTCCATTTCTTCGAGCTCTCCAGCTCACTCTGTGGGCATTTACCCCCCTCTGTGCCAAGGGCAGGCTGCAGCAGGGGACGAGCTGGCCCATGGCTCTGTTCCTGCAGCCAGACCTCCGTTCCCCATGGTGCCAAGGCCAGCTGAGGCTACGGCCCCAAACTACCAGAGGCCAGTCACAGGACAGCAGGGCGCATGTGGAGGCTGCACAGGGACACTGGTCATGGGGTGCAAGGCAGAGAGTAAGGTGGGCTCCCTGGTTTTCTTACAGCCATGGTGGGTGGTGCGAGGTGACCCAGGCAGACTAGGGTAGCAGAATCTCAGGCTCCAGCACAAGAGATCAAGTGATGTGAAAACTCTGGAAGCCACAAGCTCTCTGGGAATCACCAAAGACAGTGGAAGTGCAGCAGGCAGGCCCCATACAGAAGCCGCTTGGGGCAGGGGCCTGACACGCCAGGCCTATACCTCTCACTGTGAGAGCCGGAACACGTGGCCTCATGTCTGAGCCCCAGCTGTAAACACAGTCAGGACCAAGGGAGAGGGCACCGGAAGAGCACCCAGCCCAGAGCAGACCCCCGACAGAGGCCACTCCTTCCATTTCCCCTGCCGTCCGGCGAAGGCCTTGACTACCTGTCAGTCCAGACTCCAAGTGGCCTGGAGGCCTCTGGAGGCAGCCCAGGGGTGGGTTCAGGATCTCTCTCCCTTATACTCAACCCAACAAGATTGCATAGTAACTTAGAGGAGTCTGGACAGACGGGAATGGCTGCTTTGGGAGTCAAAACCTGGCGTTACATCTGCCATTGGAAGCCACATAACTTTGAGGAAATTATCCAATGCCCTGTGCCTCGCTTTCCACGGTGTAAAATGTGGTGCAACAAGCAGGATTTTCCTAAACTGACCCTGGGATTCCCTCCAGTTTGCCTGGACAATGAGCCACATGGGACCAGGCACCCCCTGATCCCAGTGGGAGTGGGTTAGCCAAGCTCAGCTTCTTCCCAGACCACACAGTCTCCAGGGGAGGGGCAGCTGAAGCTCCCAGACAGCTCCTACAAACATTGGGCACCCCAAACCAGACCATGCCGGACGTGTCTGCTTGAGCCCACTGAGAAGACTGCTCTCACACTTGCCCTGAAGGAGGGAAGTCAGCAGAGCAGGGCCACACACAGCGACACAGCAGTTCTCTGGCCTCAGAGTGGGAGCAGACATGGCAAGACAGGCACAATGACAGACTGAACAACCAGGCACAGTTACAGACACACAGGGCAACCAGGTACAGTGACAGACAGCAGGGCAACCAGGCACAGTGACAGACAGCAGGGCAACCAGGCACAGTGACAGACAGGGCAACGAGGCACAGTGACAGACACACAGGGCAACCAGGCACAGTGACAGACAGCAGTGAAACCAGGCACAGTGACAGACAGGGCAACCAGGCACAGTGGCAGACACACAGGGCAACTAGGCACAGTGACAGACAGACAGGGCAACCAGGTATAGTGACAGACACACAGGGCAACCAGGCACAGTGACAGACAGACAGGGCAACCAGGTACAGTGACAGACACACAGGGCAACCGGGCACAGTGACAGACACACAGGGCAACCGGGCACAGTGACAGACAGACAGGGCAACCGGGCACAGTGACAGACAGACAGGGCAACCGGGCACAGTGACAGACACACACGGCAACCGGGCACAGTGACAGACACACACGGCAGCTGGGCACAGTGACAGACACACACGGCAGCCGGGCACAGTGACAGACACACAGGGCAACCAGGCACAGTGACAGACACACAGGGCAACCAGGTACAGTGACAGACAGAACAACCAGGCACAGTGACAGACAGGGCAGGCAGACACAGTGGCAGACAGACGGGGCAACCAGGTACAGTGACAGACAGGGCAGGCAGACACAGTGGCAGACAGACAGGACAACCAGACACAGTGACAGACAGACAGGGCAACCAGGCACAGTGACAGACAGGGCAGGCAGACACAGTGGCAGACAGACAGGACAACCAGACACAGTGACAGATACACAGGGCAGCCAGGCACAGTGACAAACAGGGCTACCAGGCACAGTGACAGACACACAGGGCAGCCAGGCACAGTGACAGACACACACGGCAGCCAGGCACAGTGACAGACAGGGCAGCCAGGCACAGTGACAGATACACAGGGCAGCCAGGCACAGTGACAGAACAATCAGGAACAGTGACAGACAGAACAACCAGACACAGTGACAGAGCAACCAGGTACAGTGACAGACAGAACAAGCAGGCACAATGACACACACACAGGGCAGCCAGGCACAGTAACAGATGGCAGGTCTCACCAGCCTGAAACAGAGCTTAGTCATTCTATCAACAAATGCTCATGGAGCATCTACCTGTGGCACATTATTCTAGGGCGGTTGGCAGAGCAGGGTATGAAGCAGACAAAAGCTTGTCCCTCACAGAGCTTACATTCTACTAACAGGAGACAGATAATAGATTAATTAGCAGACTAGCATATTAGAGCATCTTAAGTTTTGGGTGGAAAATGCAGAGGGGACATTGGCACAGGGAGAGGTGCATATGTAAACCCCCATCTACCACCAGGCCTCTCTGTGGACTCACGCACTGAAATAACACCTCTGGGAGCCCTGCTATTACCTGGCCTGCACATCCCACTGTCCAGAGCACAGTCCCCCATCGTTTCAGAACAAGAAAACTGAGAAGGGTAGGACCTCACCAGATTCTACATTCAGACAAGTGCCAAAGAACACTCTTTCTCATAGGACTCCTCTAATTTGGTAGCACATGGAAGCACTCCGATTTCTCAGCCATTCCCCTTCCTATTTATAAATCAGCATCCTAAATGGTGCTGCCTCAGTGAGCTGGTGACAAATGCGCTTGAAATGCATTCTCCTGCACACCCATAAAGTTGATTTAATATTTCAATTAATCTTCCCTCTTCCTCTTCCACAATTTATGTGGCTGCTTTTTAAGCAAGTCTTTCTTGGAGCTTAAATGAGCACAAGCGTAAACATCAGTTAATTTATCTGTTTCACTAGACATAATTTCATATCCCTGAAGCACCTCTCCATCCCCTTTATGGGCTGGCAGAAGGGCTCCCCTGGCCAGCACATGGAGTGACAGTCTCTAATTGCATTGCCAGTGAGGGCATCTATCGTGTTGTGTCTTGCCCACTTTGAGAGGCCATAAATTCAGATGCCCAAGTAAATGAGGAGCAGGTATTCCCCCCACAGAAGAAGACACTGAGCAAGGCAGCCATGGCATGGAGGCTGGAAGAGACCAAGAGAGTCTTCTGGCAGGAGCAGAGGCAGGCAGCCAACAGCTCTCTCTCTGATGCCATCACCACCCAGCCGGTCTAAAAGGTTCATGTCAGCCTTTAGCACTGAACTAAGCTCAGCTCAGAGACTTGTTTTGTGTTCTGCAGGGAAAGCATCCAAAATCCGCACCTTAACCACTTTCTAGTATCCTGGTGGATACCTTGAGGCAAGGTGTTCATGTAGGTTAATGAGGAGAATTGCATTGCTTATTTCTGGCTTGGTAGGGAAGCATAGGAGGGCAATGCTGGCAGGATAGGGACCTCGATCATCCTGACAGGCCCACTATATTAGGCGATATGAGCTCTTATTCAAACTCTGTAACTGAAGTGCTAGTTAGTCTTGGCCAAGCCATTTTCCCGCTATGGCCTAAGTTTCCTCACATGAATAGAATAAACTGATTTCCAGGTCCTATAAGATGGTGGACTTAGCCATGTGCAGTGGCTCATACCTATAATCCCAGCACTTTAGGAGGCCAAGGTGGGAGGAACACTTGAGGTCAGGAGTTCAAGACCAGCCTGGCCAACATAGTAAAATCCCATTTCTACTAAAAACACAAAAAATTAGCCAGGCTTGGTGGCATGTGCCTGTAATCCTAGATACTCAGGAGGATGAGGCAGGAGAATTGCTTGAACCCAGGAGACAGAGGTTGCAGTGAGCCGAGATCACACCACTACACTCCAGCCTGGGCGACAGACTGAGACTCCATCTCAAAAAACAACAACAAAAAAAGATGGTGGACTAAAATGACCCCAAACCTCTTCAAATAGAGACACCAAGAAATACTGGGGTAAGTACAACAAATATTACATGCATAGCTAAGCTCATAAGAAATTTTTTAAAATCTTTGGACAGAAACAAAGAAAAAACTAAATTCTACACTCTGAAGTATATAAGCTGCTGCCATGATGCCAATAGTAGAGTGGGAAGGTATTAGTACCAGTTAATTAGAGGGCTAAGTGTTAACATTTACATAGGACCAGGCAACAAGAATTCAAGAACATAAAGATGGCACAATTTTATAAAAGTACATGCTGTTTTGAAATATATTCAAATATAACTTTCTGAAATTAAAAACATAGTTTTTGGATTAATAATCCAAAAAGATGGGTTTAATAGCAAATTATATATGTTTGAAGAAAGAAACAGTAAACAGGAAGACCTGAAAAACTCAATGAGAATAGAGATCAAGAGATGAAAAATATAAGAGAAAGTTTAAGAAATGTAAGGTAGTGATGTCAATAATATGGTGAAATAGGAGGTCCCAGTCCTCATCCTCCCATACAAGCATCAACTTAACAATGATATACAAAGCAAAGTACCTTTATGACAAGTCCATAATTTGAAAGAGAGAGCAGCCACATTGAAATGGGTGACAAGAGCAATTTTATCTAACTAGCATAGCTCAGGGCCTGCAGAAAGTATCTCAGTCCATGACTTCTCCATCAGTGAGAAACGAAAAGTGAGTGGAGTATATATTTATTGTTCCCAGTATTTTGGGGTGCTGCCCAAGGAATCACTTTCTATCCCACCTCACCCAGAGCTCTGGAAGAACTGGCATAATTTAAACACGTGATTGAAGCTAAAAGCAAATTAATGGAGTGGGTAGCTAATTGCAACTAGCATGGCTTTGTAAGACTGGGAGAAAGTGCACAATCCAGAGACTTCTCTACCAGGAAGGAAGGAGAGGAGTGGAGCATACACATTCTTACACAAGGTTTGAGAAGTTCCTGGAATCTGTAGCCAGGCTGATTGGCAGAGTTCTTTCCCTCTCAAAGCCAGTCCACAAAGATTGGGAAAGGTGTCTGTGTCTTCAAATGCACAAAACCAAGGCAAAACTACAAGGAACATGAAGAATCAGGGAAATATGACACAACCAAAAGGAAAAAATTAATATCCAGTAACCAACCCTGAAGAAATGGAGATCTATGAATTGTCTAACAAAGAATTCAAAATAATCACCATACAGAATGTCAATGAATTAAGCAAAATCAAGAAAATAATACATGCGCAGATAGCCTGTTCTCTGCTGTGCTGCCTGTTGCACCCTTGCAAGTGAAAGAAAGGAAAGAAAGAAAAAAGAGAAAAGAGGAAGGAAGGAAGGAAGGAAGGAAGGCAGGAAGGAAGGAAGGAAAGAAGGAAGGAAAGAAGGGAGGGAGGAAAGGAAAGGAAAGAAAGAAAAGAAAGAAAGAAAGAAGAAAAGAAAAAAAAGAAAAGAGGGAGGGAAGGAGGGAGGGGAGGAAGGAAGGAAGGAAGGAAGGAAGGGAAAACAATGTATGAACAAAATGAAAATTTCCACAAAGAGACAGAGCCATAAAAAAGAACCAAACAGAAATTCTGGAGCTGAAGAATACATTAACTAAACTGAAAATTCAAGAGAATGTTTCAACATCAGACTTGATCACAGACGAATAAAGAGAAAAAGAATGAAAAAGTTAAGAAAGCCTAAGGAAATTAAGGGACACCTTCAAGTGAACTAATGTATACATTACAGAAGTCCCAGAAGTGGAGAGAGAGAGACCCAGAAGTGGAGAGAGAGAAATGGGCAGAAAACTTGTTTAAAGAAATAATGGCTGACAGCCAGGCACAGTGGCTCATGCCTGTAATCCCAGCACTTTGGGAGGCCAAGGCCGGTGGATCACTTAAGGTCAATAATTCAAGACCAGCCTGGCCAACATGGTGAAACTCCATCTGTACTAAAAATACAAAAATTAGCTGGGCATGGTGGCAGGCTCCTGGAATCCCAGCTACTCGGGAGGCTGAGGTAAGAAAATGGCTTGAATGTGGGAGGCGGAGGCTGCAATAAGCCAAGATCACACCACTGCACTCTAGCCTGGGCAACAGAGTGAGACTCCATCAAAAAAAAAAGAAAAGAGAGATGAAAGAAAAGAAAGAAAGAAAGAAAGAAAGAAAGAGAGAGAGAGAGAGAGAGAAAGAAAAAAAGAAAGAAAGAAAGAAAGAAAGAAAGAAAGAAAGAAAGAAAGAAAGGAAGGAAGGAAAGAAAGAAAGAGAGAGAAAGAAAGGAAAGAAAGAGAAAGGTTGAAAACTCCTCAAAAGAGAAATGGACCTCCAGATTCATGAATCCCAAAGGATCCGAAATAGGAAGAACCCAAAGAAATCTGAGATAAATTTATAATCAAATTTTCAAAATTCAAAGACAAAGAGAATTTTGAAAGCAGTAAGGAAAAAGCAACTCATCATATACAAGGGAACCTTTAGGAGACCATCAGTGGGTCTCTCAGCAGAAACCTAGCAGGTCAGAAAGAAGTAAGGTAATATATTTAAAACATTGAAAGAAAAATGGTGCCCACTGAAAATATTATATCCAGAAAACTTATCTTTCAAAAATGAACAGGAGATACTCACTGGCAAACAAAAGCTGAAGGAATCCATCACCACTAGATCTGCCTTACAAGAAATGCTTAAAGAATCTCTTCAAGTTGAAAAAAAAAGAATGCTAAACAGCAACATAAAGCAAATAAATGCATAAAACTCACTGGAAAAAGCAAATACATAGACAAATACAGAATGTTGTAATACTATAAAGGTGGTATAAAAATCACACTTAATTTCAGTACAAAAATTAGACAAAACTATTAGGAATAACTATAACTACAAAAAGTGTGAGTAGAGACAATATAAATGTATAAATTTCGACATCAAAAACAAAGTATGGGGTGGGGAGAAGTAAACATACAGGGTTTTTAATGCAAGCAAAATTGAGTTGTTATCAGCTTAAAATAGACTGTTATAACTATGTTTTATACAAGCCTCATGATAATCATAAAAGAAATACCTATCGAAGATACACAATAGAAAAGAGAAAGGAATCAAAACATATCACTACAAAAAAACCAATGAAACACAAAGGCAACAACAGAGAAAAAAAGAAACAAAAGAACCACACAGACTAAAAAATGTTTAACAAAATGTCAATAGTAAGTCCTTCCCTAGGATAATTATTTTAAATATAAGTGCAGTAAATATAAGTGCATACAAATACTAAATAAAACAGGGTGGGGATGGACATACTTATAGCAGACAAAATACACTCTAAGCCTAAAACTATCACAAGAGACAAAGAAAGACATTTTAAAATGATAAAAGGATAAATTCATCAGGAAGATATAACAATCATAAATATACGCACCCAACATCAGCACATTTAAATATGTAAAGCAAACATTGACAGAAATGAAAAGAAAAATAAACATAAATACAATGATGGTAGAAAAACTTTAATATTCCCCTGTCAATAATGGATAGAAGACATCCAGACAGAAAATCAATAAGTAAACAGTGCACCTGAACAAAGCTATAGACTTAGAGAACCTAACAAACATTTACAGAATATTCCACTCAACAGCTGCAGAGTACATGTTCTTCTCAAGCACACATGGAACATTCTCCAATATTCATAATAGCCAAAAAGTCCAAACGACCCAAATGTCCATCAATTGACGAATAAATGAATAAAATGTGGGCCAGGTGTGGTGGCTCACGCCTGTAATTCCAGCACTTTGGGAGGACGAGGCAGGTGGATCAAGAAGCCAGGAGTTCGAGATCAGCCTGACCAACATGGTGAAACCCTGTCTCTACCAAAAATACAACATTTAGCCAGGCGTGGTGGTGCGCACCTATAATTCTAGCTACTCGGGAGGCTGAGGCAGGATAATCGCCTGAACCCAGGAGGCAGAGGTTGCAATGAGCCAAGATCATGCCACTGCACTCCAGCATGGGTGACAGAGTGAGATTCTGTCTAAAAAAAAAAATAGAATGTGGTATATTCATACTATGAAACATTATTCATCCATAAGAAGGAATGAAGTACTGATACATGCTAGAATACAGATGGCCCTTGAAAACATTATGCTCTGAGGAAAAAGCCAGATACAGCTAGGCTACATATTGTATGATTCTATTTACTGTGGTACCTCCTTACCTTCAGGAGATAGATTTCAACACCACTAGTGGATGCCTGAAACTACAATAGTATCTACTTCTATGATACTATGTTTTTTCCTATGCATGCATACCTATGAAGTTTAATTTATAAATTAGTCACCATAAGAGATTAGTAACAATAGCTAAGAATAAAATAGAAAAACTAGAACAATATGCCAGCTTCTGTGAAGGGAGAGTTACGTGAAAAACAACCACGTATGCCAGCAACACTGCTCTTGAACTTTGGGTCTTGATTAAGTGAATGAAGTGTTGCTGGAACACAAGCACTGTGATACTGTGGCCGTTAACCTGGTAACGGAGAAGGCTCCTAAGTGACTAACAGGCTGGAAGTGTAGACAGCGTGGACCATGCTGGACAAAGGGAGCGTTCATGTCCCGGGTGGGACAAAGTGGGATGGCGAGGGATTTCATCACGCCACTTAGAATGATGTGCAATTGAAAACTCATATATTGTTTATTTCTGGAGTTTAATCTTTTAGGACTGTGGTTGACTTCAGGTAACTGAAACCATGGAAGGTGAAACCACAGATAAAGCAGGACTACTGTATTTAAAATGTCCAGAGGAGGCAAGTTCATGGAGACAGAGATCAGTGGTTTCCAGGGGGGGTGGGGGGCAGCAGGAATGGGATGTGACTGCTTGATAGATACAGAGTTTCTTTCTAGAGTGAGAACAATGTTCTGGAACTGGCGGTGATGACTGCACAACTTCTGAATGTACTGGACGCCACTGCATTTGTACAATTTATTTATTTTATTATCATTATTTTTTTGAGACAAGGTCTCACTCTGTCACCCAGGCTGGAGTGCAGTGGCACAATCATGGCTCACCGCAGCCTTGGTCTCCAGGGCTCAGGTGATCCTCCTACCCCAGCCTCCTGAGTAGCTGGGATTACAGGCATGCACCACCATGCCACCATGCCAGGCTAATTTTTGTATTTTTTGTAGGGATGGGGTTTCACCATGTTGTCCAGGCTGGTCTCAAACTCCTGGGCTCAAGTGATCCTCCTACCTTGGCCTCCCAAAATGCTAGGATTATAGGCGTAAGCCACTGCCCCCAGCCTTACACAATTTAAAATGGTTAGAATGATGAATTTTACATTGAATTCCACTTCATAGGAAATTTTTTTTAAAACAACAACAAACCTCTTTAATGGACACATAAATTCCCTGGGGGTCTGATTGCAATGCAGATTTGGATTAAGGAGTCCGGGTGGGTCCTGAGACCGTGCTCCCCTTGCTTCTCACCTATGGCCACATTTTGAGACGCAAGGCCACTCGAAGGGCCCCCACCTCTGTGAATCAACCCCTGCTCCATCTGCCCCTATAAATAAGGGAATGCTAAAGCACAGATGGCGGGAGTGGGCGTGTCCCCAGGTCTGAGCCTGGAGGGGGTGGCCGGCCTCCCCCAGGCATGGAAGTGGAGGGAGAGGGGGCTGTAAACGGGTTACTCTGTCAGCAGACACAGAGGAGACCAAAAACAGTAGCTTTTATTTCACACGAAGCTGAGGAAGGAAGGCGAGAGGACAGCGCTGGCTATCAGAGGGTGCTGCCTGGCAGGTGCACCACCTCCAGCTGCTGGGCTCCAGCTCCGGGGCTCAGAAGCCATCTGAAAGAAAGCAGCGGCCTCCACTGAGCAAGCTGGGGTGCTGCAGGGTACCCGCCCCCGTGGTGCTCAGCAGTGCCTTCCCTCCCCTCCCCAGCCCCCGGGAACTCCTCCTGCGCCAGGGACACAGGGATCAAGGAGAGAACAGAGTGCAACCCCATCCCTGCCTGATCAGTGGGGGTGCCCGTCTTCCCTGCGACGGTTTTGGGGTGGAACAGGAGTGGCTCCTCAGGGGGAAATGAAAGGAACTGAGGAGCTCCAGTCGTGAGAAGGCCAATGAAGCAGGTAGCTTCTCTGCGCCGGGGTTGTGCTGAGATGTCATCTAGGGCCGGCTCTTCCAGAACCTCATTTGACGCTGGGAGGCAGCGACCGGGTGTGGGGGCGGGGTGGTAGGGGAGGGGAGCAGGGATGATGCGGTCCCGATTCCGTCCCCAGGGGGCGCTGGGACCCTCCCTGCTATCCAGGCTACACCTGTGCGGCGTAGCAGCCGTCCCCGTCTCGCCTGCACAGCGCCAGATGACAGCAGCCCAGAGGCTGTCCTCTGCCACCTGCACTGCTCACCTTTTCCGAGGAGGTCGGGGACGGGGCTGAAGGGTCCCCCGGGCAGGTTCCAGGCCAGGTCCTCTAGCAGGCCCAGCAGGCCTTTCACCTGTGTCCCCAGGTGATCCACGGTCTTCTCTACCATCTAGAGTGAGAAGGTGGGTAACGTCCAGGACAGGAGTGGTGCCACGTTCTGCTTCATTAGCCAGGTCCTAAGAAGCAGCTGGCGGTCCAGTGGGGTGCAGTGGAAAAGGACTGGGAGCTGCGGGACCTGGGTTTTCCTCACTCAGGCTCTGCGCCTACCTGCCTCAATCTCCCCAGATGACAATATCCTATGGGGCTCGCTCTCTAAGGCTCCTTCCTTTTTGGCACTCAGTCACAGGTTTGGATAAAGCGCGTGTAGATTACCTTCTCCCTTTTGGACTTTGCAGCCTGGAGCTCACATTCTTTTTGTTATTCTGCTCCCTGGTGGTGTCTCTGCCAAATGACAGGTCTGGGATTTTGAAATTTACTCAGGGTTCTTAATGGTTTTTCCCTGTGTATGCCATGGACCCCATTGGCAGTGTGGTGAAGCCTACAGACCTCTTCTCAGAATAATGCCTTAAATGCAAAAAATAAAACATATAGAATTACCAAGAGCACCAATTGCTTTAAAATATTATTCAAGTATTAGGCCAGGCGTGATGGCTCACACCTATAATCCCAACACTTTGGGAGGCCGAGGTGGACGGATCACCAGAGGTCAGGAGTTCGAGATCAGCCTGGCCAATGTGGGAAAACTGTCTCTACTAAAAATACAAAAAGAAAACGGGCACGGTGATGCATATCTGTAGTCCCAGCTACTCGGGAGGCCAAAGCAAGAGAATCGCTTGAACCGGGAGATGGAGGTTGCAGTGAGCCGAGATCATGCCGTTGCACTCCAGCCTGGGCGACAGAGAGAGACTCTGCCAAAAAAAAAAAAAAAAAAAAAAAAATTCAAATATTTAAAATTAAACTTTTTGGCCCAGCACGATGGCTCACGTCTGTAATCCCAGCACTTTAGGAGGCCGAAATGGGCAAATCCCTTGAGATCAGGAGTTTGAGACAAGCCTGGCCATATGGTGAAACCCCATCTCTACCAAAAATACAAAAAATTAGCGGGGCATGGTGGTGCATGCCTGTAGTCCCAGCTACTCAGGAGGTTGAGGCATGAGAATCACTGGAACCTGGGAGGTGGAGATGGCAGTGAGCCGAGATTGTACCATGCACTTTAGCCTGGGTGACAGAGCAAGACTCCATCAAAAACAAAATTTAAAAATTTGGATATATGTATTGGCCGGGCACAGTGGCTCATACCTGTAATCCCAGCACTTTGGGAGGCTGAGGTGTGTGGATGGCTTGAGCTTAGGAGTTCGAGACCAGCCTGGGCAATATAGCAAAACCTTGCCTCTACAAAAAAATACAAAAATTAGCCAGGCATGGTGGCACATGTGCCTGTAGTCCCAGCTACTTGGGAGGCTGAGGTGGAAGGATTGCTTGAGCCTGGGAGGTGGAAGTTGCAGTGAACCGAGACTGCACCACTGCACTCCAGCCTTGTCGGCAGACAGAGACCCTGCCTCAAAAAAAAAAAAATGTATTTATTAACTCACTAACTCACATGATCTAACATCAGGCCTAACAACAACTGAAATTTTGACATAATGAATGATATAAATGTTCTTCTATTCATAACTAGAAGAAGATGAAATTATCTGGATTTCTATTGGTGACAAAGTTATAGTACTATTAACACCACGGCTTGCTGTCTGTAATTTATGATGAATGGGAATGCTCAATTTCAGTTAAAGGCTTGTGACAATAAAGATGTAAACTTTTCCCCACACAAGTTAGGAATCGTGGCTATATAACAAAACAGTGACTGGATTTCCACCTTCCCATCCAGTAATGATGCTGAAATGTCCTGGTGGGGGTAAGTAAGGCCTTAGGGGAGGCAGGGTCCATTGGGGGCTCGCCAGCCTGGCAGCCTAGATGGGAGGGTGATGTTGGACAAGGTGGCCCCAGGGCAGGATTGGCCTGATGTCCTGACATTCCAAAGCAAGCTTGCATCTGCCCATAAAAACATCATCCTAGAAGGTGGTCCTGAAACCACATGTCCTTCCAAAGCACCCTGTTACCTCCTCTATGACATCTAGATGGCATTGCATAGCCATGTGTCTGTCACATGCTGTGCTCTGAGCTGAGTCTCCTCAGGGAGCGATGAAGGGTTCTGCAGCTGTGGGAAAACAAGTCTTGTCACTGTGGGACCCTTAGTTTTCCACAATGCCAGAGACTTCTGTAAATACTGGGCTCAAGTGAGGTCAGTCCTCAAAGCAAACTCAAGAGCAAGAAGAGGATGGCCCAGGTGGGGGTCAGTGTGCGACTGTCAGTTATCTCAATCCCACCAATCTCTACAGTGGCAGTCACCTACAGACCCAGATGGACTTCCTCAAGGAGGTGAAGCCCAGGGAGGAAGGGAAGGCGGGCTTCAGCCAGGAAGAATGGCACCTGCAATGATGGAGAGGCCTGAAAGAGCATGGCTCACTGTGCAAACCCTGCAGGGAGCCTGCAGTGGCTGGAGATACAGGGTGGGTGGGAGAGAGACTGGAGAGGGAAGTCCTGGAAATGAAGCCAAGGGGACAGAGCTTTAACCAAGAGGCTTTCATAAACCAGTTCTGATGTTTGTTTTTGTTGTTGTTGTTTTGTTTTGTTTTGTTTTTGATGGAGTCTAGCTCTGTTGCCCAGGCTGGAGTGTGATGGTGCAATCTCAGCTCACTCCAACCTCTGCCTCCCCGGTTCAAGCGATTCTCCTGCCTCAGCCTCCCGAGTAGCTGTAGGAATAGTGAGAAAGAAAATGAGAGGAGGTATTTCAGTAGCAGCATTGACACTGGGAACCCATTAGTAACAGCTGTCATGTGATGAGTGCTTACCATGCACCATGTAGGGTGATCACTTAACCTCTCCAACAGCCTGTTCTTATGCCCAATCTACATGTAGGAAAACTGATGCACAGAAGGGTGAAAGGATGTGTCCAGAGTCACTACTCATAAGCAGAGGATCTGCCATTCAACCCGCTCAACTCCTGATTGAGCACTGTTCTCCTTGAGTTAGCTCTTCCAGGCACCATCAACCTTCACAACAGAAGTCTGAGATCCCTGATTCCAAGCTCGGATTTCAGAGTTGGTAACCCTGAGATGCCTGTGGGGCATCAGGGTTGGCTGGAACCTTGGAGAACACTGACACTCAGGAAGGAGAGTGCTGCCCCAGCAGTCAAGAGAAGCCAAGAGCTTTACGGATTCTACAGGGGATGAAAAGTGTTGGCATAGCCGAAAGCAGCAGGGAGGTCTAGCAAAATAAGGACTGGAAACACAGCATGGGAAAGGCCCTGCTAAATTTCACCCCAGCACTTTTAGGAGTGGAGGAAAAGCAGAGTTTGGATTACCATGACATGAGAAGGGAAGGTGAGGTTGGGAGTGGAAACTTGGATTCTGGAAAATTTCATGAAGCTTGGCTGTGAAGGAAGGGAGATTGGATCGCAAGGTCTAGAGAAGTATTTATGGTTGTCATTTGTTTTTGTTTTTGTTTTAAACACTGGAAAACACAACCATGCTTACAGCCTGAGGGACAGGAGGAAGACAAGAGAACCCAAGGAATGCACTTCCTGAATTGATGGGAGGCCCTGGATCCAGAGCGGGTGGGAACACATCTGGAAGGAAGACAGAGGGAATGAAGCAAAAATGGGCAAAGGTAAACCATCTAACTAGAGGGCCAAAAAGTGGAGTGAGCTCCCACCTGATAGCCTCTATTTACTCGGTGCAGTAAGATGGAGATCACGTAGGGAGGAGAGCTAGATGTTAAAATTTCAAGAATTCTATGAGTAGGTTGCTAAAAACAGACATTAAAATAGTGACCATGGTGTCTGGAAATGGTAGCTCATGCCTGCAATCTTAGGACTTTGGGAGGCCGAGTGGGAGGATCACTTGAGGCCAGGACTTAGAGACCAGGCTGATCAACATAGTTAGACCCCTATCTCTAAAAAGAAAAATTTTTTAAGTAAAAAAAGAAAAAAAAATTGTGGCCATGATGAGAACATTTACATCACAGAAATCAACACCCCCCCCGTCCTTTTTTTTTTTTTTTTTTTTTTTTTTTGAGAGCCAGTCCATCAGTGTACCACTAGGTAAGGGACTTGAATAAAAAGAGGGCTTCAAAAGGGGATGTGCAGAATGAGGGATGCAGTGGAGGAGGACCATGAAGAATGAGCTGGCATCAACAAGGAATCCTGGAAGCACAAGTCCTCCCCCAGCAGTGCTCCACAGTCTGGGTGCAAAGACAGATGGCCGGATGGAGCTGAAACCTAGGAGTCTGCAGGATGGATGTGGTGGAAGCAAGGGGCCAAGGAACTGAGATTTGGCCAGCCAGGGGTTTAGGAGAGGAGCCCTGGAATCCAGCTGGGATAAGGAAAGAAATGAGGCCAAGAAGAGGGCCAATAAATTGGGAGAAATGGGGGCTGAAGAGACTGGAGGTCTTAGGAATCACAGGAGGAACAAGAGGTAAAGAATATTGCAATTTTAGCTTTTAGAGTTAGGGCAGCTTCAGATAGTGACAATATTAAGGCTGTGGCCATGGATGTGGGCATCCAAAGCTCAGCTGGGGGAGAGAGTTATGGAACGGATCTCTGTACATGCAGTGTCTGTAGCTGTAAGGCCTTGGTGTTGGATGGGTTGGCCAAGGGGTCATCTGCAGTTGTCTAGAAGTGGGGCAGGTCTTGAGATAGGATGGAGCTGGTGATGGATGTGTAACTCTGAGAGGCCGAGTGATTTGTCTAAGGTCACACCATCTGCAAATGCCTGGAACTCAGGCACCCTCACCTCCAGGCCTCATCTCAGCAAGATGGGGCCCCCTGCCCTGTGATTTTCTGATTTCAACTCTATCTAGCTCTCAGCTCTTCCACTCAGGGATGAGAACAAGACCAGGAACAAAACGTCCTTCCACTCTGAGCATCTTTTGTGGAGAACAATCTGTTTTTCAAATTCTCCTTTTCATTATTTCCCTCCACTGAACTTAGAAAAGATTCTGCAAAAGATCATGGTGTTATTGCTGAATCTGGGGAGGGAGGAGGACATTATAATGGTGCTTTGGTTATTTTTTTATGGTGAGTCCTTTAAAGACCTATACTGAAATATTTACAGATGAAATGCTATACTGTCTGGGATTTACTTCCAAATAATCCAGGCCTGGGTGGGGATGGGGGAGAGGCATGCGTGGATATTTAGAGCAAAGAGGATGGGCTGACAGTTGCTAATTGCTGAAGCTGGGTGATGAGCACACGGGGGTGCATTCAGCAATTCTCTCTACTTTTGTGTGCATGGTTTGAAATGTTCCATAACAAAAGCTGGCTGTCTGGCGGGGTTGTCAGCAGAAAGCAGCAGCCATGGTGGGCTGCAGGCATCCATGTAAAATATTCAGAGAGAGAGAGGCCACTGGGGGCTATGCTCCATCCTGGCCCCACATTCTGAGAAGGCCCTTGAGAGGCAGGAGCAGGTCTAGAGAAGGCTATGGGAAGGGACTCCTTTTTTTTTTTTTTACAGGGTCTCACTCTGTCACCCAGGCTGAAGTGCAGTGGCACGATCATGGCTCACTGCAACCTCTGCTTCCCAGGTTCAAGTAATTCTCCCACCTCAGCCTCCAGAATAGCTGAAACTATAGGCACACATTACTGAGCCTGGCTAAGTTTTGTATTTTTTGTAGAGATGGGGTTTCACTATGTTGCCCAGGCTAAGCTCGAATTCCTGGGCTCAAGTGATCCGCCCGCCTCAGCCTCCCAAACTGCTGGGATTATAGGCATGAGCCACCGCACCCAGTCTGGGACTCCAAATTTTAACTCAATTGTCTCAGCTGAAACTGGGCTGCTCGGCTTGGAGAGGAAAAGCTCTGAGGAGGCCCGAAGAGCTGTTCTCACCCACAGAGTGGCCGACCTGGGAGAGGGCCTGTCATCATGAGTCTGTGGATACACACACCCCCTGCTGGCTCTGTCCAGAGGCCTTTGGCCAAGCCTTTCCCCGGAGGCTCACCTGCCCTCTCCCAGACCCTAGCCACTCTCCCCTCACACACCTCCCCCAAGCTCAGACCAGGAGGACGCAGTGTGACCCTGCCAGCCAAGTGGGAGTCTGGCTGCTTTGGAAGTCAGGAGCAACCAGAGCCTGCTCCTCTCCACTGGCCTAAAACACCCTGTTCTCTACGTGTCTGTGACAAGGTCTAACTTGGCTCCAAAACCCCTCCAGGGAAAAGGCTGGGCTGAGGTCACTCCCCACATGGCTCAGCACTAATCCTTCACATCTGGACACAATTGTGCTCTGTGCACCCTGGAGCAACTGTCCATGAGGTCATCAAGGCCTCCACGGAGTGCATCTGAGAGAACAAGCTTGGAGCAGGGCCTAACATTGTACTGCCTGCTCCCTCTGCACCAGAGTCCTCACCATGGCGCTGACTTGAACGCATCATGGCAGAAAACATGCTGGAGACCCCTGTTCTCAGCCTGGTTCAGCCACTAATGATTGTGGGATTGTGAGACAGTTCCTTCTCCTCCCTGAGCCTCTGCTGCCTCCTCCATAAAATGGGGGTAGGGTAGGCTTGAGGCCCTGAATCCCCCATGTAGCTCATCCTTAATTCTTCTCTGTCTTTCAGAAGCTGCAGAGAGGCCTCAAAAATTAGCTACAGGGGCTGGGCTCAGTAGTTCACATCTGTAATCCCAGAGCTTTAGGAGGCTGAGGCAGGAGGATCGCTTGAAAAGAAGTTTGAGGACACCCTGGGCAACATAGTGAGACTCTGTTTCTACAAAAAAAAAAAATTAAAAAATTAGCCAGGATTGGTGGCTTATGCTTATAATCTCAGGTATTTGGAAAGCTGAGGTGGGAGAATCGCTTGAGCTCAGGAGTTTGAGACTACAGTCAGCTACGATTGCACCACTGCACTCCAGCCTGGGCAACAGAGAAAAACCCTGTCTTGTATTAAAAAAAAAAAAAAAAAATTAGTAGACACGCACATGCACCCACGGGGCTGTCAGTGGCTCAGACAAGGGGAGTGGAAAGGCTGAAGGATTATGATGATTAACCCTGAGCAGCCAAGGCTGTGGCTCCACAGGGCTCCCTTCCTTCTTTTCTTCCCGCTCTCCCAGGCACCGCCAGTTGGGAAATGGACCTCCTTGGATGCTGCATTGTTTTCTCTGGCCCAGCTCCTGCTTGGGGCCTGATGTACACCCTGGATGGTGGCTACAGGTGGGGCACCCTGTGCTGGTGAGTACAGGCTGCTGTGGAGCCCAGAAGCCCCAGGGGACGGCTGGGCTGGGCTGGCTGCCCCAGTTAAAGAGACGTGGCCCCTGGGTCCCATCCTTTGAGGCAGAAGTACCGCTCCATCTACTTCCAGGCCTTATGGGGAGACCTTTTGTATCTGGACCCAAACAGTAAGAAAGTGCCACAACGCAGATGATTTCTGCGTGCTCGGTGATGAGAAATGTTTTCTCAGTGGCATCTGTGAAAGGTGCTGCTGTATCTTCCGAATTGTCAAAATCACACTCTGCTTTGAAAAACAACCCTGACCACCTGGGGGTTAATTATATTTGACCACATTCAATACAATACAATAATAAATTTACCACATCCAATATTTGTATTAAAATGTATGATTCATTCAAAATGATCCATGGGTTTTGATTATTTTTGAAAGCAGCAGAACACTATTCTTCAAGTGTTTCTATAAAAAACTCCAAAATGCGGGCCGGGTGTGGTGGCTCATGGTCTAAAAAGCCATCAGGGATAAAGGTTTCTCTGAGTGCTGCTAAAAGAAACCAAGACTGGGGCCCAGTGTGGTGGCTCATGCCTGTAATCTCAGCACTTTGGGAGGCCAAGGCAGGCTGATCACTTGATGTCAGGAGTTCAAGACAAGCCTGGCCAACATGGAGAAACCCCCCTGCCCCCGTGTCTACTAAAAAATGCAAAAATTAGCCAGGTGTGGTGGTGCACACCTGTAATCCCAGCACACTGGGAGGCCGAGGCAGGTGGATCACTTGAACCCAGGAGTTCGAGACCAGCCCGGCCAACATGGTGAAACCCTGTCTCTACTAAACACACCAAAATTAGTCAGGTGTGGTGGCATGTGTCTGTAGTCCTAGCTGCTCGGGAGGCTGAGGCAGAAGAATCACTTGAACCCGGGAGGCAGAGTCTGCAGTGAGGCGAGATTGCACCACTGCATTCTAGCATGGGTGACAGAATGAGAGCCTGTCTGAAAAAAAAAAAAAAGAAAACATACAATGCCTGGATTTCCTTTAAAATAATCCAGGGAAGGGAGAAAGGGTGGAGACTATAGATAAGAAAAAACTGCCCATGAACTGATACTTGTTGAAGCAGAGTTAATAGTACATTATATCATTCTTTCATATACTATTATTTTGTATTTTTTGTATCCAAAAGTTTTCATAATAAAGAGTTAAGATATATCATCTAAAATCTGAAAGAATATGCACAAAAATGTAGGAAGTCAATGTGAAATTACACTAACACATGAATACTTTCCTCCTTTTCTTCTTCATTTTTTTTTTTTAGACGGAGTCTTGCTTTGTCACCCAGGCTGGAGTGTGGTGGCTTGATCTCGGCTCACTGCAAGCTCCGCCTCCCAGGTTCAAGTGATTCTCCTGCCTCAGCCTCCCAAGTATCTGGGACTACAGGCTTGTGCCACCAGGTCTGGCTAATTTTTTGTATTTTTAGTAGAGACAGGGTTTCACTGTGTTAGCCAGGCTGATCTCCATCTCCTGACCTTGTGATCTGCCCGCCTCGGCCTCCCAAACTCCTTTTCTTCTTTATCTGTAGCAATGAGCATGCATAATCAGAAAGAAAAATAACGTTTAAAAGTGGGTTTAAAGTCTCTGTACAAGTTGTGGCTAAAAGGGGCACCAAAAGTAGCCACTTGTGGGCAGGCTGCTCCCTCCTCCCTCCGGGAGAAACACAGGTGCTGCTTTGTGCCCTTAGCTCCTGGAGCCTGGGGCTGAGCTGGGAGGGAGTAAAGGGGAGGGGGGTGGCAGGGTGTGTACTGGGGCCTGTATTCTATGCTGAGCAGAGTCCCAGCCACTCCTCGTGCAGCTTGTGAGGAAGCCATTGGTGGTCATCTTTAACAGGTGGGTAAACTGAGGCTCAGAGAGATCAGTGGAGTCATCTGAGAGAATGTATGTTGATGCATGTTCCCTGCTGGGCACTTCCTCTCTTATCTAATCTCTGAGGCCAGCCCTGTGGGGTGGGTATCATTCTCCCCAATTTATAGAGGAAGAAACAGCACCAGAGAGGGGAAGGGACTCACCCAAAGCAGGGGATCCCGAGGGCTGGTCTGGATCCTTTCCCCAAGTGCTTAATCCCACAGTTCACCGGGCCCTGAAAGGCACTAGGGGCTTCTATCTTAGTACAGGACACTTCTGCCAAGGTCGGGGCAACGACTTGTGGGGGCAGGAGGCCTGGATGCTTTGTGAGGGCTCTGCGTTGGCACCATCATGAGATCTGAGCTTTCCCCTCACCTGGGCAACTGGAATGAGCAATAGCCATCCCTGGCTAAGTGGGATTGTGGCTTGTAAACTGTAAAGTCCTGTGCAATGTGCAGGGTGGTGGAATGAGCATCTGTGTACCGCCCCAGACTGCAGTCTAGTAAGTCACTTGACATGAGTCACCCTGTCTGAGCCTCACCTGTGAAGGGGCAACATTAAGCTGAGGGGGGAGGTGGGGGGAAGAAAGGGGACAGCGAAAGGCAAGGAACCCAGCTAATGGAGTACCGAGACAGCCTCTCCCTCCCACACAGCTCTGCATCTCCATCCAGTCCCCCATCTCCACCCAAAACAGCTCAGTTCCCCAGAGAAGCTCCCTGGAAACCGGGAGGCTGACTTCTTCACCAACTGCAGAACCACCTGAGGCCACCTGGCAGGTGAGTCGGTGGCCTTTCTCCTGGGCTCGCCTGCCTGGCTCCTTAAGGCTGTGCTGGGCTGGCCTGGGTCACTCACCCTTTGGAGTCTGGCTTCTTAAGCAATGTCCTATAAAGCCAGGCCTGAGCCTCCGCAGGCCCTCTGAGATGGAGCTGGCCTCCGGGGCTGCCCCACCCAGCAGCTGTGACCTCCCACCCCGGATCCTGGCTCCTTCTCTCTTGCAAGCTCTACTCCGGGCATCGAGCTTCCCTCTCTCTCTCCTTTTTGGTATCTCTCAAATCTTTCTCTTTTCTTATCCTCTCTCCCTCCACCCCTTGCCATTTTAGTCACTCTTTCTCTTTCCTTCTTCTCTTTTGTCTCTCAAACTCTTTTTTATTTCTATCTTGGTTCATATCTGTTCAGGGAAAGCCTCTTTCTGTCTCGGCCTCTCCTTTTTTCCTGTTCACTGTTTATTCTTCCCTCTCTCCTTTATCTCTCCGTTGCTCTACTTCTCTGCCTTTTTCTGAGTCTGTTTCCTCTCACCATCTCTCTCTCCATCCCTCCCTCCCTGTATCTGCCTCTCTCTCCATCTCGCTGCTGTGTCCAGCTCTGTCTCTTGCTCATTCCTTCCTCACCATCTGCGGATCTCCCCGGCTCCGTGTCCCCTGCCATGCCCCGCGCCCCACTCACCGGCCAAAGCGCCCACGGCACAGAGCAGGGCCAGCCCGGCCAGCGCGCAAAGCAGGGGCCGCATGGTGCCAGCCTGGCTGAAAGCAGCGCGGCTTGCGACCGCAGCCGCCCTTCCCGGATCGCGCCCGGCCGGCCCAGAAGGAAATGCTCTCAGTCCGAGCCAAACTTCCTGGGCGACTCCGGGCTTTCTGGCTGGAGAGAACCCGCCCCCTCCAGAGGCTCCTGCGCACCCCATGGGCAGCGCAGAACCCAGAAACCCCCGGGACCTGAGGCACTGACGTGCCACCCGGGAGCCTCCGGAGGAAAGGGGGCCGCCCCCCCCCCCGAGTCCCCGCGCCTCCTGGGGGCACGGGAGGAAGGAGAGGGGTTGGGTGAGGTCATGGGCTCAAGGCGACTGAGCCTGGGATCAGGAGTTTGTTATAAGCCCATTTCACAGGCAGGCAGACTGAGACTAGAGAGAAGTGTCTTCCTCAGCATCACTCTCAGCCATGGCACAAGATCTGAACTCTCGTCTCCTGGGAGTGTGGAAGGTTTTCTCTGTCTACCGAGAACAAGAAATTAATTCTAATCACATGGAACAGTGTCTGCCCCTAAGAGGGAGACCCAGACACTCACTGCTCTGGTAAGGGAGTGATAGCAATGTGAAAAGGTACTTTTCAAAAAAAAAGGTAAAATCATGACTCTTGTAAAGATATGAAATTAGCATATACTAAAGGTTTTATTTAATTCATTATTAATGAGGGGACAAGTAAGATGGTACAAGCAGTCCAAAGTTTAGAACACAGTAGTGGAAACTTCCCCTATGGGACATGCCCATCCAACAAGTGCAACAAGAAATTAAGTTTTAGTGAAAACACCAAGGAAAAAAGCTACAGCTCCAACTTCTCTGCTGCAGAGCCCTGAGTGCCTTGCCTGGCTGTAAGAGGAATACTTTCATCACCAAGCCTAGGAGAATGCCTTTGTCCATTGAGGGTCCCCATTGGGGTTAACTGGAGCCCTTGCAGATCAAGGCTGCCTCTGCCTTCTGTGTTCCTGGCTGTGGCTGTGCAGTTGTCCATAACAGTCACCACCCTAACCAGTGATCCAGTTCTCACTCCCTCCTCCAGAGCAAGATAATAGCCTCAAATGAAGAAATTCAGATTCTGAGCCCGAGAATCTGAGACAGACTCAGATCTAAATCTTTTTAAAGTCTTCAAGGAGTTTATGATGCCCAGTGAGCTGGCTCAGAAGAATTTATTTCAGGAATGCCAAGAATTTCTCATGCTTGTTGGTAGGACATTCCTTGATAATTTAGCCAGGTGGGAAGTTGTCAAAGAACTGCCAAACCCATAAGGATTCTTGTAGCTCACAGCCAGGGGACGACCTTATATTTTGAATTTAAGATTAAGGGAAAAAAAGAAACACAAAAAACATATACAGTACATTCTTGTTGTGGTAGAGCACAAAGTAATTAAGTATACAGAGAAAAACATGAAAGTCTTTTCTGTTACAAATTCCCTCTGTCCAACGATTCAGGTCCAGTTCCCTTGGCTTGGTAGGCTCTGCCTGTTCCACATCTATGCATTCCCCGTCTATCTAATGTGTATTCAGAGACAAATGTATATACATGAGATCAAATCATAAATATTTTGAAGATTTGCTTTCATTCATGTTTACCTCAGTCATAACATTAAATCTTGGCTGGGTGCAGTGGCTCACACCTGTAATCCCAGCACTTTGGTAGGCCAAGGTGGGTGGATCACCTGAGGTCAGGAGTTTGAGACCAGCCTGGCCAACGTGGTGAAACCCTGTCTCTACTAAAAATACAAAAATTAACTGGGTGTGGTTGTGGGTGCCTGTAGTCCCAGGTTCTTGGGAGGCTGAGGCAGGAGAATAGCTTGAAACCAGGAGGCTAAGGTTGCAGTGAGCCAAGATTGCACCACTGCACTCCAGCCTGCGCAACAGAGCAAGACTTCGTATTAAAAAAAAAAAAAAACTTGGAGATCAATCTATGTGAGTACAGATAAATCTAAAATATCTCATGAATAGATGCAAGCAGCATTATTTATCCAAACAGTCCCCTATTGACGGACATCTAGATTGCTTCCTTTTTCTCTCCAATATAAAATAAACTTTAATAAATATACCTTTGCATATATTTTTATGTACATAGTACATATTCATGTATTTCTGAAAGGCTGGAAGAGGAATTATTGGGTCAAAGGGTCTTTTACATTTTGCCAGATAGGCCAAAAACTGTTCCCCAAATTGTCACTAAACCCACAGAAGGGACAGGAGGGACAGGGGTCTTCCAGCGCGGTTCCAAGGTGCACTGGAGTACATGTTTGGTCTACGTAAGAATTGGGCTGCAGGGGGCGCCATTTACATAAAATACTTCGGGATTGGAGCTACCTGAAGTGTAAACCTAGCGGTCACCTACATTCTCCAACATTGGATATTTATCATTTAAAATTTTGACAGCTCGATGATGGAAAATGTTACCTTGTTGTTATTTTTACTTACATGCTATTTATTATGAGTGAGGTTAAGCTTTATTTGCCTCGATTACTTTTTTCTATTTTCCTCCTTTTCCTTTATATACTCTGATTATTAATGCAATGCCTGTTATATATGTTGGCAATGTCTTCTTCCAGCCTTCCATTATCTTTACGTTTCTTGGTGGTGTCTTTCATTATTCAGGAGTTTTAAATATTAGGTAGCCAAATCTAATATTTTCTTTTCTGGCTTATAGTGTTTACAACTTGCTTATGATTCCTTGAATCAAGGCTGTAAAGATATTTTTCTATGTTTTCTTCAAATTGTTTTAAGGTTTTCTCAAGGTCTAATGTCTAATCCATCTAAAATTTTTATGTGGTTGCAAGGAAGGAATCAAACTTAAAATTTTCCCTAAATGGATATCTAAATGTCCTAATTCTCTGTATTGCGTGGTCCAAACTTTGCCACTACTTTGAACATAAAGTAGTTTGCTAGCTACTCATTTCCAAGGGGAGTTCTGGGAAAATCTCTGTACATCACATCTGTCACAAGGTCAAGGAAACAAAAATGCAAAATAAACATAATTTCAATAAATACTGAAACCATATTTGATGAAATTAAACAACCCTCCCTAACTTAAAAACAGTAATAGCAACAAACTTACGATAAAAATAAAAGAAATAATGGGACATTTCCTTAACAAGATAACTACTTTTTAATTTTTACACTTATAATTTTTCAAATTAAAAAAAAATAGAGATGAGGGGCTTGCTGTGTTGCCCAGGCTGGTCTTGAGCACCTGGGCTCAAGTGATCCTCCTGCCTCGGCTTCCCAAAGTGCTGGGATTACAGGAATGAGCCACCGTGCCCGGCCAACTACTTTTATCTTAAATAGTTCACATGTACATACAAGAAAAAGGAGAAATGTATTCTTTATTAAATCAGGAATGAGGTAAAGATGCCATATTGACCAGGCATTGTGGCTCATGCCTGTAATCTCAGCACTTTGAGAGGCCAAGGTGGGAGGATCACTTGAGCCCAGGAGTTCGAAACCAGCCTTGGCAACACAGCATGACCCCATCTCTACTAAAAATTAAAAAAAAATAATAAACATTAGCCGGGCTTTGTGGCATGTGCCTATTACTGGGGAGGCTGAAGCAAGAAGATCGCTTAAGCCTAGGAGTTTGAGGCTGCAGTGAGCTATGATCATACCACTGCACCCCAGCCTGGGTAACAGAGTGAGACACTGTTCTAAAAAATAAATAAATAATTAAAAAATTAAAAATTAAAAAAATTTTAAAAGATGCCACTATCAACAAGTGTTTGGCTGGGTGCAGTGGTTCATGCCTATAATCCCAGCACTTTGGGAGGCAGAGGCGGGTGGATCAGTTGAGGTCAGGAGTTCAAGACCAGCCTGGCCAACATGGGGAAACCCTGTCTCCACTAAAAATACAGAAATTAGCCGGGCGTGGTAGCACACGCCTGTAATCCCAGCTACTAGGGAGGCTGAGGCAGGAGAATCACTTGAACCCAGAGGGCAGAGGTTTCAGTGAGCCAAGATCGGGAAACTCCTGGGCAAAATGATAGTATGGAGCCAGTGGACCCAGTTAACAAACCTCCTCCTTCCAATATTCTCTAAAGTGACCAGTGAAATTAAAGATAGGGGAGACTGGCATCAGTGGCAGGAACTAGAGAAATATGCCAACCATATGCCAAGCCTCAAAGCAAGGGGGTAGCCAGCTGGATCTAATAATACCTCTTATTATTTATTATTCTATTATTTGCTAAACTTCTCTGAACCCGGTATTGTGCTGGGGCTGTATATGCATTATCCTATTTAATCCTTGCGTCAGTAAGCCTATCAAGTAGATATCCTTATCCCCATTTTAAAAAATAAGATCTATTAAATATATTTGATTCAAGGGTGGAGGGTGGCAGATCCCAGTTTGGAAGCTAGGTAGATCTGGTTCCAAAATTCATGGTCCTCAGCATGATCAGGCCCCTTGACTCTCAAGTCCCAAGAAGGGCACTAAATAGAGAATCTGGAAAAGAGTGGAGGTGAGAAAGGGACAAATGGGATATAGGGGGCACAGAGGGGCAAGACCTGTGCAGTTAGGGGAAAACGCTCATAACCACCTGCATGAATGAAGTGTCCTAATGTGCAGACGTTCCTCTTTCACTTAATGCTCCCATGACCCTGGCAGGTAGCCTCATAATCCATGCAGATTGTGACAGTACCTGCCATGGTCATGGGAGCATGTAGAATGTGAGGCTTGGAGAAGTTAGGAGGTGGCCCAGGGCACACAGGTACTATTTAGGAATTTGGGGATTTGCCTCCCAGGCGCCTGTGTTGCCTCCACAGGCAATGCTACAGGATGTGCACAGGTCCTCCCAGCCTGGCTGGGCCGGGGCACAAGTGGTGGGGAATCTGGCAGGGGCTTGCTCTCCCAACTCATACCCAAAGGCAAAGGGCAAAGGAAACAGGAAATAGGGGCTGGTCATCTCTCTGGGGAGAGAAGTACGCTGAGAGGACAGCCCAATTAAAAGAGCCTCAGTGGTTGGGAGGGTCTGAGCTGTACAAAGCCTCCTTGTCTTCTCCCTCTGGCACAAGAGAGGATTTCCAGAGATACCAGGAAGACCCACAATGGGAGAGTTCTCAGTGAGCACTGGGCAAGGCTAGCCCGCTCTCTGCACAGATGGACAGGGGCTACTAACCCAAGGCACAGAAGTTATAGCCGGAGAAAGTGAGCCAGTGAAGTGTGAATGTGGATGTCTCTGTTGAGGGAAGGAAAAGGAGGGGGCGACACGACAGGTTGAGATTTAAGTTTTTTTGAGGTTGGATGCAGTGGCTCACTCCTGTAATCCTAGCACTTTAGGAAGCTGAGGTGGGAAGGTGGCTTGAGTTCAGGAGTTCAAGACCAGCCTGGACAACATAGTAATACCCTCTCTCTACAAAAAAATTTAAAAATTAGCCGGGTGTAGTGGCACACACCTGTAGGCCCAGCTACTCAAGAGGCTGAGGTGGAAGGATGACAAGCTCGAGGCTGCAGCAAACTATGATTACGGCACTGCATGCCAGCCTAGGTGACAGAGTGAGACTCGTCTCAAAAAAAGAAAAAGAAGGTTTTTTGTTTGTTTCTTTGGTTCGCAAGTTTTATTCAAGAACTCATACAAAATATTCCAGATAAATGAAATTTAATCCTCATCTTCCTCCTCTTCCTCATCCTGGTTAATTTGGAAGTAACATAACTCTGCTGTTAGCAGCTACACAAACCAATCACATAGATTATTCTTCTTCAAAATTTTTTGGTGTGATATTTCAAATATCTTTTGGAAAAAGGCACCTCAGATGTCATGGTGATCTTGCTCTTGCTCCTTTCGATGGTCACCACCCCTCCACCAGGTTTCCCAGCTTTTCAGTTCACTTTGATCCTCTCTCGGAAAGGCTGTTCAAAATTGGCAGCGTCCATGATTCCGTCTTCCACGGGGTGGCTGCAATCTAGAGTGAACTTCAGAACCTGCTTCTTTTTTTTCCATTCACCACAAGCTTTTTCCCAGGCGCCATGGCGGCAGTGGAGGCAGAAAGAGAGCTGTTTCTTTTTAAATTGTTATTAATTTTGTAAAGTTTCAGTAGCTTTGGGGGTACAAGTTATATTTGGTTACATGAATGAATTGTAAAACGGTGAATTCTGAGATTTTAGTGCACGCACCACCCAAGTAGTGTTCATTGTACCCAATATGTAGCTTTTTATCCCACACTCCCCGCCCATCCTCCCCCTTCTGAGTTTCCAGGGTCTATTATATCACTCTGTATGTCTCTGTGTCCTCATAGCTCAGCTCTCACTTAAGTAAGAACATATGGTATTTGGTTTTCCATTCCTAAGTTACTTCACTTAGAATAATGGTCTCCAACTCCATCCCAGTTGCTTCAAAAGACATTATTTCGTTCCTTTGTATGGCTGAGTATTAGTCCATGGTGTACATATACCACATTTTATCCACTCATTGGTCAGTGGGCACTTAAGGTGGTTCTGTGCCTCGGGAATTATGAACTGTGCTGCAATAAGCCCCCTTTCTTTTTTTTTTTTTTTCTTTTTTTAGACGGAGTCTCGCTCTGTCACCCAGGCTGGAGTGCAGTGGCGCAATCTCAGCTCGCTGCAAGCTCCACCTCCCGGGTTCATGCCATTCTCCTGCCTCAGCCTCCCAAGTAGCTGGGACTACAGGCGCCCGCCACCACGCCTGGCTAATTTTTTGTATTTTTATTAGAGACGGGGTTTCACCGTGTTAGCTAGGATGTTCTCGATCTCCTGACCTCATGATCCGCCCGCCTCAGCCTCCCAAAGTGCTAGGATTACAGGCGTGAGACACCCCGCCCGGCTCTGCCCCCTTTCTTAAATGTGGCCCTGAATCCTCCCAGGTAGGATAAGCTGTAGGAAGATGGGGAGGTCTGCTTGGTACAGGGAGAAGCCAAGTGTAGCGTGAGGGTAGAGGTTTAATACTAAGAGTTATGGCTGGGCGTGGTGGCTCACACCTGTAATCCTGGCACTTCAGGAGGCCAAGGTGGGCAGATCACCTGAAATCAGGAGTTTGAGACCAGCCTGGCCAACATGGTGAAACCGCATCTCTACTGAAAATAATAATAATAATACAAAAAAATACAAAAATTAGCCATGTGTGGTGGCACACACCTGTAATCCCAGCTACTCAGGAGGCTGAGGCATGAGAATTGCTTAAACCCAGGAAGCGGAGGTTGCAGTGAGCTGAGATTGCACCACTGCACTCCAGCCTGGGTGACAGAGCAAGACTGTCTCAAAATAAATAAATAATAATAATAATATTGGCCGGGCGCCATGGCTCATCTTGTAATCCCAGCACTTTGGGAGGCCAAAGTGGGTGGATCACTTCAGGTCAGGAGTTCAAGACCAGCCTGGCCAACATGGTGAAATGCTGTCTCTACCAAAAATATTTTTTAAAGTTAGCCAGATGTGGTAGCACGCACCTGTAATCCCAGCTACTCAGAAGGCTGAGGCAGGACAATTGCTTGAACCCGGGAGGTGGAGATTGCAGTGAGCCGAGATAGTGCCACTGCACTCCAGTCTGGGTGACAGAGCCAGACTCCATCTCAAAAATAATAATAATAATAATAATATTAACAGTTATAATACCAATAGTTAAAACAGCCAACATTAATGATTTTGACTTCATGTCCAACCTGGTGTGTAGCACTATATAGTCTGTTTTTTTTTAATTTGTAAAAATTATATTATAGATTTATTTTTTCTGATTAAAATGTGTTTAATTTTTAATTTTTATGGGTATATAGTAGATATATCTATTTATGGGGCACAAGCGATGTTTTGATGCGGCATACAATGTGTAATAATTACATCAGGGTAAATGGGGTATCTGTCACCTCAAGCATTTACCATTTCTTTGTGCTACAGATATTCCAGCTGTACTATTTTAGCTACTTTTAAATGTACATAGAAAAGGTACAGTAAAAAGAAAAAGAAAAAAACATAAAATGTGCAATAAATTATTGTTGACTGTAATTACCCTGTTTTGCCATCAAATAATAGATCTTATTCATTTTAACTATATGTATTTCAATAGTTTTTGGAACAGGTGGTTTTTGGTTACATAGATAAGTTCTTTTACATATATATATATATTTCAATAGTTTTTGGAACAGGTGGTTTTTGGTTACATAGATAAGTTCTTTTTTTTAAATTATACTTTAAGTTCTGGGATACATGTGCAGAATGTACTGGTTTGTTACATAGGTATACACGTGCCATGTTGGTTTGCTGCCCCCATCAACCTGTCATCTATATTAGGTATTTCTCCTAATGCTGTCCCTCCCCCAGCACCTCACCCCCTGACAGGCCCCAGTGTGTGATGTTCCCCTCCACGTGTCCCTGTGTTCTCATTATTCAACTCCCATTTATGAGTGAGAATATGCAGTGTTTGGTTGTCTGTTCTTGTGTTAGTTTGCTGAGAATTATGGTTTCCAGCTTCATCCATGTCCCTGCAAAGGATATGAAGTTGTTTTCTTTTCTTTCCTTCTTTTTTTTTTTTTTTTGAGACAGGGTCTCACTCTGTCGCCCAGACTGGAGTGCAGTGGCACAATCTTGGCTCACCACAACCTCCACCTCCCAGGCTCAAGTGATTCTCCTGCTTCAGCCTCCTGAGTAGCTGAGATTACAGGCATGCGCTACTACCCCCCAGCTAACTTTTGTATTTTTTGTAGAGAGAGTTTCACCATGTTGACCAGGCTGGTCTTGAACTCCTGATCTCGAATGATCCACCCACCTTGGCCTCCCAAAGTGCTGGGATTACAGGTGTGAGCCACCGCACCCAGCCAACATGCATGAGCTATTTAGTGGCAATTTCTGAGATTTTGGTGCGCCCGTCACCTGAGCAGTGTACACTGTATTCAGTGTGTTGTATTCTATCCCTCACCCCCTCCCACACTCCCTTTCCCCAGTCCCCAAGTCCATTATATCATTCCTATGCATTACATCCTCATAGCTTAGCCCCCAATTATAAGTGAGAACATACGATCTTCGGTTTTTCATTCCTGGTTACTTCACTTAGAATAATGTTCTCCACCTCCATCCAGGCTGCTGCTAATGCCATTATTTTATTCCTTTTTATGGCTGAGTAGTATTCAATGGCTACATAGTCTATTTTTCAGTTAATCTTGGCTGCTACCCTATGCAATGGGTTCTGTGATTCTCCCAGAGCTTAGCAATAGCAGTTTTCCAACCAGTGTCTTTTGAATTGATAAATCCACATTTAGAAGGGGAGGAAACTGGCCTAAATTGAGGGCCCAGCAAAAGAACTCAGCCACCCGCAGTGCCTGGTGTCCATGTAGTCGGTTTTGAGATGTTTTAGCTGCAGATTCACATTGCTAAGTGTCAATTCAGTTCACTGTGAAATCCGTCGCTATTTCCTGAAAGTGCATCAAGCTATGAATTCCCTGTGGCTTCGGCGGGTAGAAGTGGGTTGGCATTTCCCTCCAGCTCTTTGAGAATTTTCTCTGCAGTGCTCTCTAGGGAGATGATCTTATTTTGGCTCCCTGAGGTGAGAGTCAGAGTAAAATATAAACTGTCTGAAGACATTGCTTGGCTGACTGTTCAGAGCATTTCCGAGTTAGTATCTCTTAGTAAGGGAGGCAAAGGAATTGAGTTCAAATCGTGACTTTGTTCTTGCTAGTGGTGTAGCTTCAGGCAGTTCACCTCCTCTCTCTGAGCCTCACCAACAAAGAGGGAGTAATAATAACACCGATGATCACAGAAGAATGTGAATTCTCTTGCTCCCTGCCTCTAACCTGCTTTCCTGGGCCTGTCACTATGTTTTCTTTGCTGGGTGTACTTGCAGGTTATAAGTCTCCTGAGGGCAGAGAGGGTTGTGAGTAATGCCAGCTAGGCCTGCAGAGGCCCCGGAAGAGGATCAAGGTTTCCAGGAGAGATGACTGTTGACCAAGGAAGAGCTGGCAGCTAACTCTGCTTCCTGAAGGTGTAAAGTAAAGGCCCCCCGAAAGGGTCTTTAAACATGAGTAGGAGTTTCTAAGCAGTGCATCCTTCATGCCATGGAGATTGATGGAGGTGTGTGGGCGGCAGGAGAATGGGCAGTAAATCTGGGGGAAATTTTGGTCAGATTATGGGGGGCCTTGAATGCCACTCTCAAAAGAGTAACCCTTCATGCTGTAGGCAGAGGTGCCAGCAGAGTTTTTGGCTGAAGAATTACACAAACCCATCCAATTCCCTCTTTCTTTTTCTTTTTAAGTATTTTTCCTTGGAAATAATTTTGAGTTTACAAAAAGAGTACAGCAAATTCTTGTACAACCTTCACCAGCCTCCCCAAATATTAACATCTCACATAGCTACAGAATTATCAAAGCCAGGAAATGAACATTAATGCAATCCTGTCTGTGAATCTACAGACTTCATTCAGTGTTGCCAGTAGCCCCACTAACGTGCTTTTTCTCCTCCAGAATGCGATCCAGGACTGCACGTGGCATTCCGCTGCCGTGTCTCAGTGGGATCCTTCCATCCAGAACGGCTCCTCCGTCTTTCTCCTCCTCTCATAATTTTGACAGTTTTAAAGCATCCAGGCTATTTTTGTCTTTCATAACCTTGACACTCTTGAAGAGTACTGGCCAATTATTTTGTAGAATGTCCTCCAACTTGAGTTTGTCTAGTGCTTTCTCACAATGAGAATGAGGTTTTGTGTTTTTGGTGAGAACACCACAGAAGCAGGTTATACCCTTCCCCATGCATTATATCAGGAGGCACATGTGATATTGCTGCATCCCATTACTGGAGACGTTAACTTTGAGAGATGATGTAGCAAAGATTTCTCCATTGTAAAATCCTATTTTTCCTTCTGAACTTAATGAGTATCTTACAAGGAGCTGTCTTGGAGACTATGTAAATATCTTGTTTATCATCATACTTTCACCAACCAATTTTGGCATTCATTGGTGATTCTTGTCTGCAATATTAATTACCACTGTGTTTTCCAACAGATGATTTTTCTACTTTCATAATTCCTTCTCCATTTATTAATTGTAATTCAGTGGTAAGGAAGAGCTGTCCCTTCTCTCCCAATTACTTATGCAATTATTTCAGTATAGACTCATGGATATTTAGTTTATTCTACCAGTGATAATCCATGACCAACATCATTTGTATCATTGTTCCAACTGTCCCAGGTATGGCCAATGTAAGCATCTTCAAGTCACCCCTTGTGTTTGTTTGAAATGCCCTTATTCTATTTTGAGCACTTCCTTTCTGACATAAGATGTTCCAGGATTATTTTATAATTTCACTGACCCCACCCTGTACTTAATCATTTCTCCAAAGAACTCTGCTTCCTTTATTGAGGGAATGTATTTAGAATCTAAGATCTGGGTGCTGGATGTCCTCATTGTTACTGAGGTGTCACTGTGTCTAGGGCCTCTCAGCAGACAGAGCTAGGGAATATGGGTTACCAACTCTGAAACTATTTTATGGGTATTCTGAGATTGAGCAAATAAGTAAATACATTGTATTTAGTGGGAGGGAGGCATCTCACTGTCAAAGAGAGAACTACAAATAAAAAGGGAAGGGCAAAGTGAACCCTATTGTGTTAGATTAGAATCAGAGGCATCAGCATGAGCTCCTGATTTTTAGTGTATGTACAGATTGACAGATATAGAAATAAATATGACCTGGCAATTCCATTCCTAGGCATATACCTAGCAGAAATCCATGGTCATAAAAAAAAACATGGACAAGAATGATCATGCTGGGAGTGGTGGCTCACGCCTGTAATCCCAACACTTTGGGAGGCTGAGGCAAGCAGATTGCTTGAGTCCAGGAGTTTGAGACCAGCCTGGGCAACATGGCGAAACCCTGTCTCCACTAAAAATACAAAAATTAGCTGGGTGTGGTGGTGCATGCCTGTAGTTCCAGCTACTTGAGAGGCTGAGGTAGGAGGATGGCTTGAGCCTGGGAGTCAGAGACTGAAGGGAGCCAAGATTGTACCACTGCACTCCAACCTGGGGAACAGAGTGAGACCCTGAAGAAAGAAAGAGAGAAAGAGAGAAAGAGAAAAGAAAGAAGAAAGAAAGGAAGAAAGAAAGAAAGAAAGAAAGAGAAAGAAAGAAAAAAAGAGAGAAAGAGGAAGAAAAAAAAAGAATGATCATAGGATCATAGCTGCACTATTATCATAGTCCTAAGCTGTAAACCACGCAAATTCCCGTTGACACCAGACTAAAGAATGAATGACCGACCACTACATGCAACATTATGGATGAAAATACAATTGCGGAAAGACATTTTCTCAAAAAATGCTGTGTGATACCATTTATATAAAGCACAAACCAGGCAAATTAATCCATGTCACAAGAACTCAGTATCAATTTTCTGCAAGAGAAACGAGGGGGTTTCTGAGCTGCTGGTAGTGTTCTGTCATTTGGTCTGGGTGCTGGTTGCATTGGTGTGTCTAATTCTTAAAATGTATATACATTATTCATCAGTAAAAAGTTTTTTAAAATATTCATCTCCTGGCTCTAAGCTTCATTTTATCTTCATTTCAACTCAGCTGCTGCAGGGACCCCATAAAATGAATAGAGTAGGACTAACTTCTAAACCTGCTCTGCTTCTATTCCCTTCCAGACTAGGATTGATATTTTCCCTCCAGGATTGAGACTCCTGTTAAATTTTCTTTTATTTCCCCTTCTTTTCTTTCTTTCTTTTCTTTCTTTCTTTCTTTTTTTCTTTTTCTTTTTTTTTTTTTTTTGACGGAGTCTCACTCTGTTGCCCAGGCTGGAGTGTAATGGTGATCTCGGCTCACTGCAGCCTTCATCTCCTGGGTTCAAGCGATTCTCCTGCTTCACCCTCCCAAGTAGTTGGGACCACAGGTGTGTGCCACCATGCTCAGCTAATTTTTGTATTTTTAGTAGAGACGGGGGTTTCACCATGTTGGCCAGGCTGGTCTCGAACTCCTGACCTAAAATGATCTACCCGCCCTGGTCTCCCAAAGTGCTCATGATTAAAGGCATGAGCCACCGTGCCTGGCTTCCCCCTTTTCACAAGTTCGATTTTTTTCTTTTTCCTGTTCTTTTTGTTTTGTTTCGTTTTTCTTTTCTTTTCTTTTTTCTTCTTTCTTTCTTTTTCTTTTTTCCTTCTTTCTTTCTTTCTTTTTTTTTTTTTCAGGCCTAGGACTCTTGATCCAGTCCCACCTGCTGGTGTAGGTCAGGAAGAGATTATTTTAGCCCCACCCAACTAGGAAGCTGCGTAGATGTAGGGGAGGAAAGCAACTTGCCAGGGGCTACCCTAGGTAGGAGATGTGGCTATATTCCAGAGTTGTTGAAGGTTAATACCAGCTAATGTTCTTTCAGTTACTGCCTTCCAGGTATTCACAACAAGGATTAAGGAAGAGAATTAAACTCTAATGCAATAGGCTTCCATCATTTGTAATGAATTAACTTCCATTGTCCTCATTGTTAAAAGATACATTTATTAAAATGGATAAAAATCATCAGCCTGGAGTGGCTGCTCATGACTATAATAGCAGCATTTTGGGAGACTGAGGTGGGAAGATCGCTTAAGGCCAGGGGTTCAAGACCAGCTTGGGCAATATAGTGCAACCCCCCTCTACAAAATAATAATAATAATAATAACAATTAGCCAGGCATGGTGGCTCAAGTGTGTAGTTCTAGCTACTCAGGAGGCTGAGTCAGAGAACCACTTGAGCCCAGGAGGTCAAGGCTGCAGTGAGCCAAGCTTGCATCACTGCACTCAAGCCTGGGTAATAGAGCAAGACCCTGTCTCAAAAAAAATAAATAAATAAAATAAAATCATGACTCTCAAACAGCAGATTATAACTGACTCAAAGGAGAAGTCAAAAAAGCTACATTTGTATGGAGCAAAGGAATGTTGAAACAAACGCACCAACAGAGCTCAAGCCAGCTTCTTCCAGGGTGGCAAAGGGAATTCCACTGAACCTCTACTGGCAGGACTAAATGTACAGGTCTAGAGCCAAGAATTATTTTTCATTTCTATCAGTTATCTACATTTTACAAGCTGTAAAATAACTCCCATGGAGTCAAAAGCAGATAATGTGAAAGGGTGGACTATAGGCAATATTTAATTTTCCATTGAAAGGAAATTTTTCCTACACTTTCCCTCTGTTTTGATAAAAAATAACCTCATCTATTCCCGGGTAATTCAACAATAGTAACATATCAAATATACCTGTTTATTTCTGGCACCTCTCTTTTCATACGGAGAAGTAACAAATCTTTTGCGATTTTCAATGGTATTTCTGGGAAAGCTCAGCTATCATTCCTTTTATTTTATTTTATTTCACATTTAGGAATTTTGGGAATACAAAATCCAAAATGGTCAGGAGATTTGAACACTTAATGTAGGATCATAGGTGTCTGAGAAATAATATTTGCCTACCCATTTGTAAGGGACAATACAACATTTAAAAATAGGCCGGGCAGCCCAGTGCTGTGGCTCACACCTGTAATCCCAGCAGTCTTGGGGGCCGAGGCCGGTAGATCATGAGGTCAGGAGTTCAAGACCATCCTGGCCAATATGGTGGAACCCCGTCTCTACTAAAAGTACAAAAATTAGCCAGGCGTGGCACGCCTATAGTCCCAGCTACTCAGGAGGCTGAGACAGAAGAATTGCTTGAATCCGGGAGGCAGAGGTTGCAGTGAACCGAGATCATGCCACTGCACTCCAGCCTGGGCAACAGAGGGAGACTCCATCTCAAAAAATAAATAAATTAATTAAATTAAATTAAATAGGTGGGGCACAGTGGCTCACTCTTGTAATCCCAGCACTTTGGGAGGCCGAGGCAGGTGGATCACCTGAGGTCAGGAGTTCAAGACCAGCCTGGCCAACATGGTGAAACCCCGCCGTCTCTACTAAAAATACAAAAAATTAGCTGGGCGTGGTGGCGGGCACCTATAATCCCAGCTACTCCGGAGGCTGAGGCAGGAGAATCGCTTGAATCCAGGAGGCTGAGGTTGCAGTGAGCAGAGATCGTGTCACTGCACTCCAGCCTGAGCAACAAGAGTGAAACTCTGTCTCAAAAAAAAAAAAAAAGAAGAAGAAAAAGAAACCAAACTAAATAAAAATAGATAGAAAATAACATGATTGTAAAGAACTTTAGCCCTCTCCTAAATAACAAATGTTGTTTCTTTAAATAGTCAAGGGCATAATAAAATCAACATGAAAATCAAAAAATTATTCTGGTAAAACACTGAATCTTTGCTATCTAGGTAGATTTACATAGAAAAGAAGAATAACCCTTCATAATATAGGTGAAGACGGCAAACAGTAAACCAGGGAAACAAGGCCATGAATATTAAACAAAATTTTTAAAGAATTTTAGTAAATTTAATAGTGTTAAAATGCATATGATGTATTTTATATGCATTATATATTATAAAATATTATATATTATATATGTTTTATATGATAAAGTGTATGTTGTTATAAAAGCAAACTTTTATAAGACCTTAAGCAAATTTCATAGTGTTTAACATATTTCAGACTAAAATATTTTATATATATATAAATACCAGTCTGGCCACCATGGTGAATCCTCATCTCTACTAAAAATACAAAAATTAGCTGGATATGGTGGTGCATGCCGGTAATCCCAGCTACTCAGGGGGCTGAGGCAGGAGAATTGTTTGAACAGGAGAAGTGGAGGTTGCAATGAGCCGAGATCGTGCCACTGCACTCCAGCCTGGGCAAGAGAGCTAGACTCCATCTCAAAAAAAAAAAAAAAAAAAAAAATTCATGTCGGCATGCTCTTTTGCATTCTACAATAAACTCACCCTTGACTTTAGGACCAAGCTCAAGGGGCCCATGAGGTCAGAACTAATTTCACAATGCTGCTGAGGTGTATTTATTGTACTTCATTCATTGTTGCTATTTTTAAATGAACCATTAAATAAGCTTTCTTAAAAGTTATGTTTTATAGCGTCCAGGCGTGGTGGCTCATGCCTGTAATCCCAGCACTTTGGGAGGCCCACATGGGTGGATCACTTGAGGTCAGGAGTTCAAGATCAGCCTGGCCAACATGGTGAAACCCCGTCTCTAATAAAAATACAAAAATTAGGCGGGTGTGGTGGCAGGTGCCTGTAGTCCCAGCTACTTGGGAGGCTGAGGCACGAGAAAAGCTTGGACAGGGGAGATCTCTAGTTCAGTGAGCTGAGATCGCACCACTGGACTCCAGCCTCAGTGACAGAGAGAGATGCCGTCTCAAAAAAAAAAAAATTATGTTTTATAGGTATGTGCTGAGAGGAATGAAAAAATATTTTTTAGAAATTTATGTTTAAATGTTTAACTGTAAATACTAATAGCTATAATACACAAAAAAAAGCTCTTTGGTGTCCTCATTATGTTGGAGGTGTGTAAAGAGGTTTCACCAAACAAACCAACTAAAAACAAACTCCCAAACCCATTGCCCCAAACCTAATCTGAGTACTGCAGCTTTAAGACAAAACCACAGTACTTTATTTTCCTTAGAAAACAGAAGTATACCCAGGGGCAGTGGCTCACGCCTGTATTCCCAACACTTTGGGAGTCCAAGGCGGGTGCATCACCTGAGATCAGAAGTACTGGACCAGCCTGGCCAACATGGTGAAACCCCATCTTTACTAAAAATTAGCCCTGTGTGGTGGTGGGCACCTCTCAGCTACTAGGAAGGCTGAGAGAGGAGAATCGCTTGAACCCACAAGGCAGAGGTTTCAGTGAGCTGAGATGGCGTCACTGCACTCCAGCCTTAGAGACAGAGTGAGACTCTGTCTCAAAAAAACAAAACAAAACAGAAACACATACACAGTTGTATTTCTCTGAAACTATTGCTCCAAAGCATAGTGTCAATCACTCACATTAATGATAACTTTTAAGTAAAGCAAATTCCATTTCACAGAGAACACGGGAAGTTGGACACTTTTAACTGTGACTGTCACTTAACATATAGCAGACAAGCAAAGCTCATGAATGCACATGACACAACTCTCTGCAGCCATATGAATCCCTTATGGTATAACTTCTCCAAGTGGCAAAAAGAAACACGTTCATTAACAGATCCAAAGATGTAAGCTCTTCGTAGCATATAAAAAAAGAAGCAAGGGCCGGGCCGGTGGCTCATGCCTGTAATCCCAGCACTTTGGGAGGCCGAGGCGGGTGGATCACTTGAGGTCAGGAGTTGGAGACCAGCCAGGGCAACATGGCAAAACCCTGTCTCTATTAAAAATACAAAAATTAGCCAGGTGTGATGGCACATGCCTGTAATCCCAGCTACTCGGGAGGCTGAGGCAGGAGAATCGCTTGAACCCAGGAGGTGGAGATTGGAGTGAGCTGAGATTGCTCCACTGCACTCTAGCCTGGGCAACAGAGCAAGACTCTGTCTCAAAAAATAAAAACAGGCCAGGTGCTATGGCTTACGCCTGTAATCCCAGCACCTTTGGAGGCTGAGGCAAGTGGATCATCTAAGGTCAGGAGTTCAAGACGAGCCTGGTCAACATGGCAAAACCCTGTCTCTACTAAAAATACAAAATTAGTCTGGCATGGTGGCAGGCACCTATAATCTCAGCTACTCTAGAGGCTGGGGCAGGAGAATCACTTAAACCCAGGAGGTGGAGGTTGCAGTGAGCCGAGATCCTGCCACTGCACTCCAGCCTGGCCAACCAAGAGTGAAACTCCGTCTCAAAAAATAATAATAATAATAAGGCTGGGCAAGGTGGCTCATGCCTGTAATCCCAGCTCTTAGGGAGGCAGAGGTGGGAGGATAGCTTCAGCCCAGGAGTTCAAGACCTGACTGGACAATATAGCAAGACTCTGATCTCCACAAAAAGGAAAGAAAAAAGTATAAAAAATAAAATAAAAATAATAAAGAAATAAAAATAAGCAAAAGTTTATACACTTAAATTATGCTTCATAATGCATATTTTAGCCTTTCATTTTTCCTAGAAATTATTTATGTAACTAGCAAATATCCATCAATTAAATGAGTAGAAGGTTTTAAGTTACCTAAAGATCTTTGAAATCTAAAGTGGACATACCATGAAAGATAACTTTTTTTTTTTTTGAGATGGAGTTTCGCTCTGTTGCCCAGGCTTGGAGTGCAGTGGCACAATCTCGGCTCACTGCAACCTCTGCCTCCCGGGTTCAAGCGATTATCCTGTCTCAGCCTCCAAAGTAGCTGGGACTACAGGCCCACACCATCACATCCGGCAAATTTTCATGTTTTTAGCAAAGATGGAATTTCATTATATTGGTCATGCTGGTCTCGAACTCCTGACCTCAGGTGACCCACCCACCTCACCCTCCCACAGTGCTGAGATTACAGGTGTGAGCGACCTCGCCCAGCCAAAAGATAACTTTTGAAATAAAATTCATCAGTGCAATATATCAATTTTGTTAAACACAGATTGACATTTACATATTTAAACATTATGTAAAAGCAATGCTAGCTTATTTTATCAGTAAATATGTATAAGTTCAGGAAAAAACATATATAAGCAGAATAAAAATGCATGCTTGCATTATACAATAATATGGGTGTACATTTCCAGAGTTCTCGTATTCATACACTGTATAAGAAGATGACAAACAATTTTGCAATGAAAAATCTTGTCCATACGTTTTTGGCATGCATCAGAATATATCTGTATTCCTGAGTCAAAGGGTTTGTGCATTTGTGATTTTGATTGATAATGCCAAATTGCCTCACAGCAGTGACTTTAATATACACTCTCATCCTCAGTGTATAGAAATGCTTTCTTCCTCACACAGCTCTAACAAGCACGTCATAAAACTTTTTTTTTATTTTTTTATATTTTGAGATGGAGTTTCACTCTTGTTGCCCAGGCTGGAGTGCAATGGTGCAATCTCAGCTCACCTCAACCTCCGCCTCCCGGATTCAAGTGATTCTCCTGTCTCAGTCTCCCAAGTAGCTGGGATTAGAGGCACGTGCCACCACGCCTGGCTAATTTTGTATTTTAAGTAGAAATGGGGTTTCTCCATGTTGGTCAGGCTGGTCTCAAACTCCCAAACTCAGATGATCCACCTGCCTTGGCCTCCCAAAGTGCTGGGATTACAGGTGTGAGCCACCACATCCAGCCATAAAACTCTTAAATATGTTCCTCAACATGATAGGTGGAAAATTGTTCTCTTAGTACAATATTTTTTTTTTTGTTTTTTGTTTGCTCATTAGTTTTTGCTTGTTGTTGTTGTTTTGTTTTGTTTTGTTTTAGACGGAATCTCACTCTGTCACCAGGCGGTAGTGCAGTGGTGCGATCTCGGCTCACTGCAACGTCCAGCTCCAGGTTCAAGCGATTGTCCTGCCTCGGCCTCCCAAGTAACTGAGATTATAGGCACCCGCAACCATGCCCAGCTAATTTTTGTGTTTTTAGTAGAAACGAGGTTCCACAATATTGGCCAGGATGGTCTCGATCTCTTGACCTCGTGATCCGCCTGCCTCAGCCTCCCAAAGTACTGGGATTACAGGCGTGAGCCGTTGTGCCTGGCAATTTTTTTAATTAAAAAAAATAAAATAAAATGTCCAGAACTGTTTGTATTTCCTTTTCTGTGACTAAATGTTTATATCCTTTACTTCTGTTTATTCTTTTTGTGTTGGTAGGCTTCTTCCTATTGAATAGTAGAAGCTCTTTATGTATTAGGGAAGTTCACCTCTGCCTGTGATATGATTGCGCATAATTTCTTCTTGCAGGTATTTCTCCCAGTTTCATGATTGTTTTCTCAGTTTGCTTACAATAGTTTTAACACAGAACTTTTTTATATTTCTATATTGTAAGATTTGCCAGTATTTCCATTAATATCCCTTTATGACTTTTGTGGAGAACAGAGCTTTGGGCCCCAGCTGAGTGGCAAAGGGCACAGTCCCTCAGTGTGGAAGACCCACTGCAGGTGACCTTGATGCCAACAGGCGGCGGGCCAGGGGGATGATGTTGATGACAATCTTCAACTACACTTGCCGATGAAGTGAGACATGGGGTCTGACTTCCACAGGGTAAGAATGGATTGGCCCAGAAACCACTCGTTTCTCCTTTCAGCAAACATTCTTTGTGAGGTTGCCACAGTCTTTGCCTATGTTTTACAAATGTGATTGAGAACAGATGAAAGATCTGCCCAAGGTCACACTGGATTCTAAAACCTGTTTCTAACTGTGTCATCCTCCAGAAAGTGAATGTGCATCTTGGAGGATGATCCCCAACCAACATGTGATCTGAAAGTACATATTGCCCATAAAAAAAAAAAAAAAAAAAAAAAAGGCCAGGTGCAGTGGTTCATGCCTGTAATCCCGACACTTTGGGAAGCCAAGGTGGGTGGATCACTTCAGGTCAGGAGTTCGAGACCAGCCTGGCCAACATGGTGAAACCCTGTCTCTACTAAAAAATACAAAAATTAGCCGGGCATGGTGGCGGGCCCCTGTAATCCCAGCTACTCGGGAGGCTGAAGCAGGAGAATCACTTGAACCTGGGAGGCAGAGGTTGAAGTGAGTCAAGATGGCACTACTACACTCCAGCCTGGGTAACAGAGTGAAACTCCATGTCCAAAAAATAATAATAATAATAGCTTATGTGGGGAATGGGGTTGCTTGTTTCTGACTGAGGTATAAGTTCATTTGTAATGCAGTGTTGAAATGATTGCTTCTCCTAAAAGCAGATCTTGAGAAAAAAAAGAAGAAGAAGAAGAAAGAAACAGTTGTTCAATTCTCAGTGCTGTCCGATCGTGAGTTCCCAGCAGGCCAGATAAGCAGAGAGGACTGCGGAGGGAATTCTGCTGGGTGACAGCTGGGGCAAAGGTTAATATGTAATTGGGGGTCAATGTTAGTGAGGAAACTTGCCTCAAAGGAGCAGAAGTGTGGATTCAGGACCAACAAGAGATGAGTTTCTTGTGACACAGGGGTGAGGTTAGATTAGAATTTTTAGAATATCATAGGCAGAGAGTTTCGTTTTGAATAATTGCCACTCTTGGGAATCTCCAATTTGCTGTAGTTGATGCATAGGCCTTGATTAAAAAATACATATATTCAGAACAGAAAACTGAGGGACTGTCACATGTAAGCGACTGCAGTAATGTGATTTAGTTAAAAACAAAACAGAAGTCCGAGGCGGGTGAATCACGAGGTCAGGAGATCGAGACCACGGTGAAACCCTGTCTCTACTAAAAATACAAAAAATTATCCGGGCGCGGTGGCGGGCGCCTGTAGTCCCAGCTACTCAGGAGGCTGAGGCAGGAGAATGGCGTGAACCCGGGAGGTGGAGCTTGCAGTGAGCCGAGATTGCGCCACTGCAGTCCAGCCTGGGCGACAGAGCGAGACTCCGTCTCAAAAAAAAAAACAAAAACAAAAACAAAAAAAACAGAACATCAAGCACTGGCCCGGAAGTGAGGACTCCAGGCAGATGTTTCCCAACTGTGCCACTTGTTCGTTCTGTGACTTTGGGTAAGTAGCTTGCCATTTCTGGGTGTTAGTTTTCGCCTTCTGTAAAATAAGGCTGCCGGTGAAGGGCTCAGAGCATTTGCAGCCCAAGCAGCGGAAAGCAGCCCCTTTCTGCTGCAGGCCGTGGGAAAGAGGCCTTGTTGGCAAGCCTGCCGTCTGCATTCCATGCTCAATTTCCTGCCTAGGAGGGAGATGGGTAGGAGGCAGGCACGTCACCTTGCACCCAGATCCCAGGCCAGCGGAAAGACATGCCCATCCCAGAACCCCGAGGCTACTGACAGAATTGGGTGGTGATTAGGACTTGCTGGGGGCCACAGCAATCTGATTTCCAATCTCTGTCTCTCTCTAGCTGTGAGCTCTCTGGTTAGTGCTGCCCCTGATCTGAGTATCCTCTGTACAATGGGGATAGTACCCACTCCCCTTGCAGTTACCGAAAAGATCAAATGAGACGTGTGTAAATGCTTAGAGCAGTGCTGGGTACATATTACATACTCAGTGCTATTTTTTATTATTGGCTTAATTATTGAAATCAAATATTAACCTCCTTACCTAATGTAGGAATTCTCTCTACAGCATATCAGACAACTGGCTATTCTCACTCTGCTTGGATGCTTCCAGTGACAGGGGACTCACTACTTCTCCCAGCAAATTGTTTCACTAGTAGATAGTGCTTCTGGAATTTTATGGAATTTTAAAGCTGAGAGGAACGTTATAAATCAAGTGTAACTGCCTCACGAGAAAACCCAAGTTCAAGAGGTGAAATGAGGCCGGGCACGGTGGCTCATGTCTGTAATCTCAGCACTTTGGGAGGCTGAAGCGGGTGTTCGAGACCAGCCTGGGCAACATGGTTAAACCCTGTCTCTACTAAAAATACAAAAGTTAACCAGGCATGGTGGTGCATGCCTGTAATCCCAGCCACTTGGAAGCTGAGGCATGAGAATCACTTGAACCCAGGAGGTGGAGGTTGCTGTGAGCCAAGATTGCATCACTGCACTCCAGCCTGGACAACAGATCGAGACTCCGTCTCAAAAAATAAATAAACAAACAAATAAATAAATAAATAATAAAATTCTACCTTCAAAATTACTGTCTCCTAATACTTTATAACTACTATGTAGTTTGAAGATGATCTGTTCTCTCTCTGGAAGCTTTTAGAGCTTTCTCTTTGTCATATTATTATTATTATTATCATTTTGAGAGAGGGTCTTACTCTATGGCCCAGGCTGGAGTGCAGTGGTGCATGATCACAGCTCACTGAAGCCTTGACCTCCTGGGCTAAAGTGATCCTCCTGCCTCAGCCTACCCAGTAGCTAGGACTACAGGCAAGTGCCACCATGACTAGCTATTTTTTTTTTTTTAATTTTTTCGTAGAGATAGATAGGGTCTCAAAATGTTGTTCAGGCTTGTCTCAAACTCCTGGCCTCAAGTGATCCTCCTGCTTTGGCCTCCCAAAGTGTAGGATTACAGGCATAAGCCACTTTGCCCAGTCTCCTCATTATTTTTATTTATTATTATTTTTTGCTTATTATTTTTAAATTTTATACTTGTACCTAGGAATTGATTTTTCCTTATCTCTTGTTAGCTCTTTATAAGTCCTTTCAAATAAGGTCATTTTTTTGGAAATGTATCTCCATTATTTCTTCAAGTATTTCCTCCACTCTATTTTTACTTCTTATGCCATCTGAATTTATTGCTCAGGTGTTCGCACTTTTATGTTTATCATCCACATTTCCAAGCTTTTCTTCTCTATTTCTTATGTTTTAGTCTTATTGTGAGACCACCACAATCATGTGTTCATATATTCTTTCTTCAACTATATCCATTCTATTTCATTTGTCAAATTTGATTAATTTCCATTTATCAAATTCTTTGTTTTAGCTATTTTATTTTTCCTACCTAATATTTTCACTTAGTTTGTTTTAATGATATCTTGTTCTTGCTGCATATTGCTAACATTTTCTCTTGTCTCCTATTTAAGGAGCATTATTAGATTTTGGGACCTTCTGCTTCAACATGTGTGATCAGATGATACGTGCTGCTTGTGTAGACTTTTCCTCCTCAACTGTCCAGTTATTTGGCTGTGGGCTCATTTTCCTTTGGGAAAATGTTTGGTCATACGTACTGGGAGGGGCCAAGGCCAGCCTCATCTATGTTGGTTCCGGCCATGTGAGGACTGAGAATCCAGGGATCACAGACCCCTTAGTGAATCCCTGTCTGAGGCCAATCCACTAATCACTCCTTTGGCTGGAGTTTTCACTTTTAAACCCTTAGGAGGAAATAAGATAATCTATAGTCCTAGCAATTTGGTTGGAAGCACGGTGAAGGAACTACCTGAGGGCTGTCTGTGACTATTTTTGTGAATTCTCTCCCATGCCCCCCGCAGAGTTTGTGTTGCTGATATCAGTGGACAATGCTCCGGGCACTGTTAACTGTCATGCTGAAGGAGTCAGGCTGATGACTATCTCTCTCAAGGCAACTTGAAGGAACAGAGCAGAATGTAAAGGCTGCCCAACCAGTTCTTCATGATGCCCAGGCTACACCCCCACACTAATTTCAGTAGTCTTCAGTCTCGGAGAGGGTAGTGAGAAATTCCCTAATTTCCCCACTTAGTGTTAGTGTATCTCTCTCCTGTCCTTCCACTATCTGTTTAGGGTTGATTTTGAAGATCTTTGCAGGGATTCTCTACCATGTAGTATCTTATTTATGTATTTATATAGAATGAATGAATGAGGTGGTGTGTTATTGTCTTTTTCTTTTCCTTTTTTTTGAGACAGGGTGTCCCTCTGTGGCCCATGCTGGAGAGCAGTGGCATAATCATGGCTCACTGCAGCCTGGACATCTCTGCGCTCAGGTGATCCTCCCACTTCAGCCTCCCCAGTAGCGGGGATCACAGGCATGTGCCACCACGCCTGGCTAATTTTTTGTAGAGACTGGGTCTGGCCATGTTGCCCCAGGCTGTTCTTGAACTTCTGGGCTCAAGCCATCCTCCTGCCTCAGCTTCCCGAAGTGCTGGGATTACAGGTGTGAGCCACTGTGCCCGGCCAGTGTCTTCATCTTTATAATATTTTATAGTATCTTCAACTATAAAATGGGGATAATGGTCACCTCAAAGAGCAGTTGTGGATTTTGGATATTTTATATCAGTTTCCAGAACAAAATAAATATTTGAAAAGTATTGAGTTTTTTTTACTTTCAAAAGACCTAATGCCTAATTTTTCTTCTCCGGGAGGGAGAAGTATGTGGATAGGTCAGTTGGCTGATTCCATCAGCATTTTCAGCCCTGGAGCAACGTTCTTTGCTGGATTGTGTTATGGCTCCAAATACTATTGACATTAACTACTAACCTCCCAGGAACAGTGCCTAGAAGTTTTTCTTATTGACGGTGTTGGTACATATAGAAACCAACGCTAAGCCTCAGAAATCAAGGCTGAACCATGTGATTTCTAGTTCTAAATTTTCTCTATTTTGCTACTCAAAGTGGTCTATCCATCCATGTGGTCAAGTTTGAGGAGCACAGGCTGCAATGTGGGCAATCACAAACCTTCCAGGAAAACTGTACTCGTGCTTTACGTGTTATAGTTTACAAAGTTTCTTTCTTTCTTTGCTTTATTTTCCCTCCCTCCCTTCCTTCCTTCTTTCCTTCTTCCTTCCTTTCCCTTTCTCTTTCTCTGTCTCTCTCTTTCTCTCTTTCTTTTTTTCTTTCTCCTTCTTTCCTTCCCTCCCTCCACCCTCCCGCCTTCCCTCCTCTCTTCTCTTCTCTTCTTTTTCTTTTCTTTCTCTCCCTCCACCTCCAGGGTTCAAGCGATTCTCCTGCCTCAGCCTCCCAAGGAACTGGGATTACAAGCAGGCACCATCATGCCTGGCTAATTTTTGTATTTTTAGTAGAGACAGGGTTTCACCATGTTGGCCAGGTTGGTCTCAAACTCCTGACCTCAAGTGATCCACCTGCTCCGGCCTCCCAAAGTGCCATACAAATTTTGGGATTTTTTTTTTATTTCTGAGAAAAAATATCGTTGGAATTATTATTATTATTATTATTATTATTATTATTATTATTATTATTTTGAGAGGGAGTTTTGCTCTTGTTGCCCAGGCTGGAGTGCAATGGCACCATCTCGGCTCACCACAACCTCTGCCTCCTGGGTTCAAGCGATTCTCCTGCCTCAGCCTCCTGAGTAGCTGGGATTACAAGCATGGGCCACCACGCTTGGCTAATTTTGTATGTTTAGTAGAGACGGGGTTTCTCCATGTCGGTCAGGCTGGTCCCGAAATCCCGACCTCAGGTGACCCACCTGCCTTGGCCTCCCAAAATGCTGGGATTACAGGCGTGAGCCACTGCGCCCTGCTCTATCATTGGAATTATGATGGGGATGGCATTGAATCTGTAGATTGCTTTGGGTAGTATGGATATTTAAACAATGTTAAATCTTTCAATACATGAACATGGCATGACTTTCCATTTATTTGCGTCTTCAGTTCCTTTCATCAGTGTTTTAGAGTTTTCAGTGTAGAGATCTTTCACTTCCTTGGTTAAATGTACTCCTAGGTATTTAACTTCTTTTTAACTACTGTAAATGGGATTGCTTGCTTGCTTGCTTTTTTTTTTTTTTTGATAGCTTGTTGTTAGTGTATGAAAATGCTACTGATTTTTGCATTTTGACTGCATCTTGCAACTTTACTGAATTTGTCTATTAGTTCTAACAGGTTTGGGGTGGTACTTCAATTCTTTCAATGATGAAACCAAGGTCCGGAAAGGTGCATGTGGCTAGAGCTAGGTTAAATCCCATCTTCAATCTCAACTAGTAGGGTAATACTTTCTGATTTTTAAGTGTGTCAAATGTATCAACAGTATGCATGGTGATTTTAGGTAATAATTATCCTTTCTTTCCATATATATTAGAAAAAATGTAATGAACAAACCAAGTCTGGAATTTCATAGTTATTCTTGTTTAGGAAATTTTTTTAAAAAGTGAATTTCTGGCCAGGTGCAGTGGCTCATGCCTGTAATCCCAGCACTTTGGGAGGCTGAGGCCGGCAGATCATTTGAGGTCAGGAGTTTGAGACCAGCCTGGCCAACATGGTGAAAACCCATCTCTACTAAAAATACAAAAATTAGCCAGGCATGGTGGTTGGCACCTGTAATCTCAGCTACTTGGGAGGCTGAAGCAGGAGAATCGCTTGAACCTGGGAGGTGGAGACTGCAGTGAGCCAAGATTGCACCACTGCACTCTAGCCTGGGAAATAGAGTGAGACTCAGTCTCAAAAAAAAAAAAAAAAAGAAAAAAGAAAAAAAAGTGAATTGCTTGAAATCATAAATAATAAATTCAGCTGTATTGTAGACATGATTAAAGTTGTGGAGGTGACCCCATGTGCTTGAGATTTAGGTAACTCTTCCCTACCTTACATTATAGATGCCATTCCTCTCATTTATAACAATGTTAAGATTTCTTCAATTTCATCCTGTGCAATGTATTAAAACAAGGAAAAAGTAAGCAAAAGTTCATTCATGAATATTTCCCTGAACAGCATTTTTATTGCTTCCTTACTTTTAAAAATTACTTTTCCATTTCCCACACAAATGTAACTGAACAGTATTCATTGTATACCAGGAGTATTTCCCTTAATCCAACATAATGACTTACTACAAATAGAAATGAGGCAATTGATGTACTTAATCCTTTATAAAAGCTTAGAAGCCATCTTAAAATACTTCGCAGAATTTGCAAATACAGTATTTTGAGTAGGATTTTCAAACGTTTACTGTGGAATCAGAGCACAAATCTCCTCTCCAAGAAGAGAAACGTGAATACTAAAGACTCCTATTGTGCAGTGTGGATGAAAATGGAAACATAATTCACAATTTGTTGTGGACAAGGAGCCTCACAGAGAGAATGTTTCCATGGTCTTCAAGTGTATTACTCAGCTACCCTACTAGCATTTTTTTCACTGTGCTGACAAGAAAGGGAAGAAAAAATATTCACAACCCAGGTTGCTAAACTAAGAGCTTTAATTAATGAGACTCCAGAAAGGGCCCTAGCAAGATAAAAATGTGATTGCACTGTGCTCTCTGACCTCAGTTGCAGGTTCTTTGACTTCTCTTTCATGTTCTCAGACCCTCAGTGTGAAGATATAAGGGCTGTCTGAGATTGCAAGTTGTTTTGCTAAAAAGCCTCTTTACACATCTGAAATATAACCTCTTAAACCTAACTCAGGCTTATGTTAACACCGTGGCTTTAAACCATGCTTAGACTGCATGGAATCATAAAGATGTTGAATATAGGAAACGCTGTTAGTTTATCAATTGGGCCTACTATTAAGTTCTTGAAGGGGTGGATTGCCCCTCCACACCTGTGGGTGTTTCTCGTAAGGTGTAACGAGAGACTTAGGAAAGAAAAAGACACAGAGACAAAGTATAGAGAAAGAAATAAGGGGACCCAGGGGACCAGCGTTCAGCATATGGAGGATCCTGCCAGCCTCTGAGTTCCCTTAGTATTTATTGATCATTCGTGGGTGTTTCTCGAAGAGGGGGATGTGTCAGGGTCACAAGACAATTGTGGGGAGAGGGTCAGCAGACAAACACGTGAACAAAGGTCTTTGCATCATAGACAAGGTAAAGGATTAAGTGCTGTGCTTTTAGATATGCATACACATAAACATCTCAATGCTTTACAAAGCAGTATTGCTGCCCGCATGTCCCACCTCCAGCCCTAAGGTGGTTTTTCCCTATCTCGGTAGATGGAACATACAATTGGGTTTTATACCGAGACATTCCATTGCCCAGGGATGGGCAGGAGACAGATGCCTTCCTCTTGTCTCAACTGCAAGAGTCATGCCTTCCTCTTATACTAATCCTCCTCAGCACAGACCCTTTATGGGTGTCAGGCTGGGGGACAGTCAGGTCTTTCCCTTCCCACGAGGCCATATTTCAGACTATCACATGGGGAGAAACCTTGGACAATACCTGGCTTTCCTAGGCAGAGGTTCCTGCGGCCTTCCGCAGTTTCTGTGTCCCTGGGTACTTGAGATTAGGGAGTGGTGATGACTCTTAAGGAGCGTGCTGCCTTCAAGCATCTGTTTAACAAAGCACATCTCGCACCGCCCTTAATCCATTTAACCCTGAGTTTGACACAGCACATGTTTCAGAGAGCACGGGGTTGGGGGTAAGGTCACAGAATCTCAAGGCAGAAGAATTTTTCTTAGTACATAACAAAATGGAGTCTCCCATGTCTACTTCTTTCTACACAGACACAGTAACAATCTGATCTCTCTTGCTTTTCCCCACATTTCCCCCTTTTCTTTTCGACAAAACCGCCATCGTCATCATGGCCCGTTCTCGATGGTCACTGTCTCTTCGGAGCTGTTGGGTACACCTGCAGACTAACAACAGACAAAACAGGCACACAAGGATTAATATGAGATTTATAATTGTAGTACTTCCGATGGTCTTAACCCAAGTGACAGGGTTAAGATTTGCGAGACCATCAGCAACTCCTGCAATTGCCTCAGTTCCTGGCACCAAATTTAAATGGGCTTTTGATGCTTCGAAAATTTGTTCTTTTAATTTGGAAATGTCTAAAGTGAGATTATCTTCTCTTCCCTGTAGATAGCGTCTAACCATGTCCCAGTGATGCTCAGACTCATTATAAATTTGGGGTGTAATACAAAAGTCTGACGTATTCCAGTCACACTGTAACTGGAAACGATGTTCTAAGCTCATGAGTCTGTCTCCCATCCAAATGACAGTTTGTCTAAGATCATTAATTTGATTTGCCAATTTTTGATCAATACTAGATTGTGAATTCCACAATCTTGTAGAATTTTTTTGCCAATCATTAACAAAGTTTACCGACTGAACAGAAGAGTGCAATGCAACTCCTGCTACAGCATCCGTAGCTGTGACTGCAGTTAATCCCATAATCACTGCAATTAAAGTAAAAGTGAATCTTTTGGATCTATTTAAAACGCCTTTTAATACTTCAGTCAAAATATGGACGGATGGCGAGGCCTCCCACGGTCGGTCCATGGACACAGGGATCCACACGCCCTCTCTTGCTCTCACCAGCAGAATACGGTGTTGCCAATTAAAAGTTGAATCAATGCAAGTAAATGATCTACAATTTGCACAGGTTATAGTCTGGGAGTCTGGTTTAATAACTATATTTCCTAAAACTAGCATATAAGGGGGCTTTACGCAACTTTGTAAAGGAACCGTTAGACTGGAATTTAGGTCGATAGTATAAAATGGCTTACGATATCTTGTTTCTAAAGTTTGACTTCCAGACCAAATTCTAATGTGGTGTGAGGCCACAGTAAGCCTCCATAATTCTGGATGTTCAGGACCAGAAACAGGACTTATTATTTTTGGTCTTGGGGTAGAGATTCCTTTTTCTCCCCATTCCCAATGGTAGAAAGACTGCAATTTTTTATGCTTACGTTTGTCTAGACTTTCTGTTAAGTCGCTATCAACAGCTGGACTCACTTGTGCACTTGGACATGACTGAGTTTGTCCTGAGCAATTGTGGTAGAATTGACCTCGAGGTGCCCAATCTGTAATAGTTCCGAATTCATTGTTTTGTAATATCACCGCACTATTGGCCACACATTCTTCCCAAACTAAAACGTCTGTATTTTTTGATTCTTTGGGAATTTCCTTGGGGCAAGGTTTCCCTTTAGGTCTGAATTTTAATGATCTTTGATAAGAAAAGTCTTGTAAATAATTTACCCGTGGCCTGAGTGACATCCCGCTTACCATGTGATAAGTGAATCTACTGATGGGACTGACAGTAGGTACTTCTACCAACCAGTTTTGGACTGCAGACATTAAACATCCTGGTGCTCTCCCTAGGCAAATAGGAGGATAACGATACCCAATGGAAATGTTTATCATCATCCCTTCTTCCTCAGGTTTGGCAGGGCAGCGATCATCTGTGGGGCCAGGTACCCATACACTATCATTAACATATACTTCTATAGGATTATCCATCCATGTGACTGGTGTTACCATCTCCGTGGAGGCGCTTTTCTTTGCATCTCCGATGGGTTCATTGTAGAACTTCAAATGTCTGGTGGGTATCCAAACAGGAAGCTGATTTTCTCCTGGTGAAACACAAGCAAAACCTCTCCCCCACGTTATCACCTTCCCTATTTCCCATGTCTTATTTTTATTATCTTTCCACCAAATTAGTTTTCCTTCATGTGGGCTGTTCTTTTTACCAGTAAGACGTTGTTCTGCAGAAGTAGTAGTCTGATTTCTATAAATGTTTAAAAAATTTAAACTATAGAGTGCTAGATTAAGTTGCATCTGAGGAGTGGTACACTCCTTACTGTCTCCCCCTTCTTTTTGTTTAACTAATTGAGTTTTGAGTGTTCTATTAGTTCTTTCAACTATGGCCTGTCCCTGGGGGGCACCAGATGTAGGGGTGGGTTGCCCCTCCAAGTTCTGAGGTCATTAGTTTGTTTTGTTTTGTCTTTGTTTTTTTTTTTTGTCGGTTTTTTGTCCTTTTTTATTTTTCCAAACTATATGTGCTTTGGAAATCTAAGGAGTGGGTATGAAAACAGTTTAGCCTGGTTTTTTTCCATGGTTGCTTCCACCAAGATGCCTCTGGCCTTTTCTCATCCAAAATCAACATAAAGCTGTTTCTCCCATATCACCACCATGACTACCACACAAAGCCAAGATGTCTCCATTTTTAAATTTGTTGCTTCACAGACTTACTACTAAACTCCTGGATGATGGGGGAGGTGGGCAACACGAGGCCCAGAATCATGCCTCTCTGTGTGATACTGGGCAAGTTACTTCACCTCACTGAGATGTTTATGGGTCTATGAAAGGAACGATCTGCACCATTTGCTCACTAGATCCCCCTTTGCATCTAAGCCATGATAATACCCCAAATAAGATGAAAGGATTTTATACAGGCGTGCCTGCATATTGACGTTTTGATCAATGACACACAGCACATATGACACTGGTTCCATAGGATTAGAACACCACATTTTTACTGTACCTTTTCTATGTTTGGCTATTTTTTTGTTTGTTTTGTTTTTTGAGATGGAGTCTCGCTCTGTTGCCCAGGCTGGAGTGAAGTGGCACAATCTCGGCTCACTGCAAGCTCCGCCTTCCGGGTTCAAGCCATTCTCCTGCCTCAGTCTCCTAAGTAGCTGGGATTACAGGTGCCCACCACCATGCCTGGCTGTTTTGTATTTTTAGTAGAGACAGGGCTTCACCATGTTGGCCAGGCTGGTCTTGAGCTCCTGACCTCAGGTGATCTGCCCACCTCAGCCTCCCAAAGGGCTGGGATTACAGGCGTGACCCACTGTGCCTGGCCTGTTTGTCTATTTTTTTTAAAATCCCATCCTAAAGAAAAGCTAGGTGCACAAATATTTACCATTGTGTTACAGTTACCTTCAGTATTCAGTACTACTCTATATGCTGTACAGGTTTGTAGCCTACGGGCAACAGACTGTACCATATAGCCTAGGTGCGTAGTCAGCTCCGCCATCTAGGTTTGTGAGTACACCCTGTGATATCTGCACAATGATGCACTCACCTAATAATGCATTTCTCAGAATGCATCCCCGTTGTTAAGTGATGCATCCTGGACTTCGTGCATTAAAAAAATGCCAGAACACTCCTTACTTAGTGCATAGACTTTATCAAATGTTGAATAAAAACAGAAACAAAAAGGAGACAATCCTACAATGAAAAGGAGACACTTATGTCTACCGTAGTGATTCACTGTACGTGGAGGAGGTAAGTGGGGCATGGACAGGTCTACAAATATAATACATATATACCCGACAACCACAGTGCTTTGCATTTCTTTATCAGTGAAAAACAAACTGGGATCTGAAGTGTATAAACAGTTCCCTAGTAAAGTCTATTTGAGATAAAGAATCAAATGTGCATCAATATATCAAAACTGACAAATACAAGAAAAGCATTCAGCTAGAGATAATTCACAGCATTTTATTCAAGTTAATCCATTTCATTCAATAATCTTCCATATTGTTCCCAGCACCACTATTACTATCATTATTTCTCTTCGGAGAAGACCAGGTATTAAGAAATCGGGTTTGAATTTCCATGATGCATAACTCTATGGTCAAAAATCCTTTTCCTTACCAAAAACCAACTTTTTAATCACCAGAGAAAAGAGAGAAAGACTGAGATATATTTGCAGAAATTTATATCCACTAGAGACAATTCATAGTTCATCATCTTTCAGGCTTGTGCTTTACTTGGTGGCTCTATTTTGGGGAGGGGGTTGTTTCTTATAAATATTTGTCTAATACAAATCACTTGCCCCACTGGACCACAGAAGGGAAATAAGGGCTAGTCCCCAGAAAGCAAGCAGGCAGTCCTCCTGGGAAGAAGCCCTAATGGCTCCTAGTGGTGACACAGTCATTCTGCCAGGGTGAGGGGACACAGTCATTCTGCCTCCCCAACCTCTGAGCAATAATAAAGTATAACCAAGTGAACAGGAGAGGTACTAACTAGCCGGATAATCCATGGGCTAGAATCTCTAAACAGGAATGTTTGTGTGTTTTGAATAAATCAGAGCTGGAAAGAGACACTTTTGGAGAAGTGATGGAGAATAGAAAAGTATGAAAAAGATAAAGGTTTCTCACCAAGGAACCCACAAAAAAGGTGGTACCAGTCAGAGGTAGTCTTGGGCTTTTCTTTTGAGATGAGTGTACCCCAAATGGGTTGTGCCATTTTCACATAAAAATTGGAATGATAATGAACAAGTGAAAGTGAAATCAGTTTCCCTCCTTTGTTCAATAAACACGGATAGAGTACCTGTGTGCAAGGTAGTGGGACAGGTGCTGAGGGGAAAGGTAAAGCTGTTTAAGCTGTGGCCCTGAGCTGAAAAAGAAATCTAGCAGTGCCATCAGACTGCACACTACAGAGTAGAGTGTCTCAGGGGCCAGGTGGAGGGAAGGATGACTTCCAGCTGCAGCATCAGGGAAGGCACTCTGCAGTCTCCCCTGTAGGTTCTCAGTGTGCCTCTGTGCCTGTGTGACCACTCAGCCTGCCCCATTCCAGGCACTTGCTCATCTTCCTTATCTTTCTCTCTAGTGTGAGAAGTGGAAGTTTAAGAGGATAAGATCCTGCTTCACAGGTACCTAATAAATGTGTGTGGAATTGACGTGTGGTGGAGGTGTCACTATCTTAGTGCAGCAAGGCGGAAAGAGTTTTGGGAAAGGAGAGCAAAGATGGTGGTGGTGAGGGTAAGGTGTTTTCATCAGAAGGCGAGAGCAAGGGTATACAAACCAAAAAGTCAATTTAGTATGTGGCTTAGCCCAGAGCACATGAGGGCACCAACACAGCCAAAGACCATAAGAAGGTAGCTGAAGTCCTCTGCCAAATAGGACTGAAAAGCTAAAATCTTTTCAGTTTCTTTCTTAAGCAACAACTGGTCTATTCAAGCTCAACCAGAGCATATAAGAGAAAAAATGACTAATGAGAGGCTCTTAAATAGTTTTGAAGGACAGACACTTTCTAGAAAGTAGAAAGATCACTGAGTAAACACTGCACCTCCCCTACCCCACAAACACACACAAAAAAGATGAGGATGAATGTAGAAGTGTAGAGCAAGCTTGTGGACATCCTCAAGTTTGGTTTTGGCGCTTCTGTTGGTAAGCAGTCAAGATGGTGAGAGACGCTATCCCAAAGGGGAAAGTCTGTAGGAACCAGAGTAGCTGAGCCTGACCACTTGTGTTGCCTTTATGCCTAAAAAAGAAAAAACAAAATTTAAACACCAGAATGTTAATCTTACAGTTTCATGGGAGTTATTGTCTTCTATATTGTTTTTTAAAATGTATACCTTCCATTACTTTCATTGGATTTATTTTGCTGCTTTTCTCTGGCTTCTTATCTTGGATGGTTTGTTTATTTTTCTTCTTTCTTGTTTTCTAATAAATGTATTTTGGATGGTACACTAGTCCCTGAGAACCAGTCTGGCTGGCTACTCTCTGGGGCACAGTATTATAAGACTGTTTCTCATGTGATTCGGATGGCTGCATGGAGTAAAACGCACTGGTATGGCTTCAGATCAAATGTTTTCAAGATAGACCAGATTTAAATCCTAGCGTGGCTACCTACCAGCTGTGACCTGGGCAAATCACTCAGTATCTCTCCAAATCAGTTTTCTCATCTGAAAAACAGGAATGGCAGTAGCTAGCTCACTGAGTGTTGAGATGATTTATGGGATAATACACACAAAGTGCTCAGGAAGGAGCCTGGCACACACTCATGATAAACACCTGCTTATATTGTCATTGAAATTCAATTGCTTAAAACGAAGTGCAAAAAAAAAAAATGACCCAATGGAAGTGAATGGCTTGCTACAGTCTCATCTGTATGGAAATAAGTCTCATTTGGATGACTTTTATTTATAATTTTAAAAACAATATATGTAAAAACAGTATAATTTTCTACAGTAACAGATAAAAGGAGAAAGATCATATGAATATCTTAATAAATGCAGAAGTGGCATTTGATAAATTCCACTATCCATTCTTTTTCCACCCCCTCAGGGATGGGGGTCTCACTCTGTCACCTACAGTGGAGTACACTGGTACAATTATAGCTCACTGCAGACTCAAACTCCTGGGCTAAAGTTATCCTCCCACCTCAGCCTCCCAAGTAGCTGGGATCATCACAGGCATGCACCACCACGCCTGGCTAGGTTTTTTGTTTTTTATTTATTTATTTTTTTTGTAGGGACAGTGTCTTACTTTGTTGCCCAGGCTGGTCTTGAACTCCTGGCTTCAACTGATTCTCCTGCCTCAGCCTCCCAAAGTGCCAGGATTACAGGTGTGAGCCACCTGCGTCCACACCTAACATCCATTTTTAATAAAAGTTCTCAGCAAATTTAGAAATACAATGGAACTTCCTAATTTTGACAGAGGAGATCTACAAAACTCTAGAATAAACACGATGCAAAATGTTGAAAGTTCTCCTTTGAGGTCAAGAACGGGGCGCACTTCTAGTCAGCACTGCTGGAAGTTCTAGGCAATAGAATAAGGGAAGAAACATAAATAAAAGGTATACACAATTGAAAGAAATAAAACTGTATTTCTGGACAGTTTTATACCTGAAAAACTGAAAATAATCTACAAACTATTAGAATTAATAAATTTATTTAGCAAGGTTGCTGGGTATAAGGTCAATATAAAAAATTGACTACATTCATAAAAACTACCATCAAACAATTAGAAAATGAAAAAAAGTGAGCTGAGATCATGCCACTGAACTCCAGCCAGGGCGACAGAGCTAGACTCCATCTCAAAAAAAAAAAAAAACAGTTGGTGCGGTGGCTCAGGCGTGTAATGCCAGCACTTTGGGAGACTAACACAGGCGAATCACTTGAGCCCAGGAGTTTGACACCAGCCTAGGCAACAATAGTGAGACCCCATCTTTTTAAAAAAGTCATTTATAATAGCATCTCAAAGTACAAGTAGCTGGAAATTAATCTAACAACGTGTAAAACCTCTTAAAAATTATAGATATATTAAAGGAGATCTAAATAAATGGAGACAGATAATTTCATCGTTTAGAAGACTCAGTAATAGAAATATGTGATGCTTTCCTGACCTTAAGGAAAAAAAAGAAAAAAAAAGTAATGGAAATATGTCAATGTTCTCCAGATTAGTTCACATGGTCAATCCAATAAAAATCTCAACAGCTTTATTTTTTGTTTTTGAACACAGGACAATGCATAGAATTTGCAAAGGTGTAGGAAAGGGCAATCCTATTGCACAAGATGAGAGGACATACTTTATCAGCTAACAATGATTATAAAGCTGCTGCTATTAAGACAGTGTTGTGTTAGCCCAAGGATAAACAGGCCAATGGAGCAGAATAGAGTGTTGAGAAACAGATCCATACATATAAGTAAAGACAGGGCACATCAATGAAGACTGAATGTCTCAATAAATAGCTCTGGGATAATTGGGCATCCAGATGGAAAAGGTAAAGTTGGAAACCTCTCTCTTACAAAAAAAAGCTCTAGGTAGAATGAAAACTTAAATGTCAAAAAAAAAATTCTAAAACTGTTAGAAGATACTGTAAAAGAATATAACTTTAGGCCGGGTGCGGTGGCTCACGCCTGTAATCCCAGCACTTTGGGAGGCCGAGGCGGGTGGATCACGAGGTCAGGAAATTGAGACCATTCTGGCTAGCATGGTGAAACCCCGTCTCTACTAAAAATACAAAAAATTAGCCGGGCGTCGTGGCGGGCGCCTGTAGTCCCAGCTACTCAGGAGGTTGAGGCAGGAGAATGGCGTGAACCTAGGAGGCGGAGTTTGCAGTGAGCCGAGATCGCGCCACTGCACTCCAGCCTGGGCGACAGAGCGAGACTCCGTCTCAAAAAAAAAAAAAAAAAAAAGAATATAACTTTAATACAAATAAATGAATAAAATTGACTAAATTCATAAACTTCTGTTTATCAAAAGGCCCAACAGAATAAAAAGACCGTGAGAAAGGATATTTGCAAAACATCTAAATGACAAGGTACTGAAGATCAGAAAAAACAAGGAGCGCCTATGAAAAGGTAAGCAAAGGACAGACAGCCCATTAGAACATTGGTGAGATTGTGGGGAAATGGGCACTATCATATACTTCGGTTAGAAGCATAAATTAGTCCCACAGTTTTGAAGGCAGTATGGAAGAAATACATATCATAATTAAAAGGTCATTCTTTTTTTTTTTTTTTTTTAGATGGAGTCTTGCTCTGTCGCCCAGGCTAAAGTGCAGTGGTGCGATCTCGGCTCACTGCAACCTCTGCCTCCCAGATTCAAGCGATTCTCTTGCCTCAGCCTCCTTAGTAGCTGGAATTACAGGTGCCTGCTACCATGCCCAGCTAATTTGTGTGTGTGTGTGTGTGTGTGTGTGTGTGTGTGTGTGTGTGTGTATTTTTAGTGGAGACAGGGTTTCACCATGTTGGCCAGGCTGGTCTCAAATTCCTGACCTCAGGTGAACCACTAGCCTCGGCCTCCCAAAGTGCTGGAATTACAGGCGTGAGCCACAATGCCCAGACAAAAGTATTCATTCTTTAATCTTCAAATTCCAGATCTTGGAATTTTTTGTAAGAGAACAAATACCAAAGTGGGACAAATACACGAAATTCATGTTCATTGCTGTATTGCTTGTAATAGTAAAAAAGTAGAGACTTAAAAGCCCATCAGAAGGAGGATTTCTTAAATACATTAAGGCACATCTATACAATAGAATTCTATGCACTAATATTAATGGATGAATAACTTTATACGTATAAACATAGACAGGCATATGTTAGTCCAGTGCAGTGGCACACCTATAGTCCCAGCTACTTGGGAGGCTGAGGCTGGAGGATCTCTTGAGCACGGGTGCTCAAGGCCAGCTTGGGCAACATAGTGAGACCCATCTCTTAAAAAATAAAATAAAATACAATTTAAAATAGGCATATATGACCATGGAAACCAATTATAGAAGAGATTATATCTATATGTATATATGTAATTGGATTACAGGCATGAGCCACCACTCCTAGCAACTTTCAATTTTATAAGCTGAGTTTTTAACAACATTATTAACTTAAAAACAAACACGTTTGTTTTGAAATGGGTGAAACAACAAAAATATTTTGTTTTGGAAAATAAATTTATATGATCCTGTAAATGTGTAAGATACTTAGGAAAGAAAAATAAAGATGAGTTGGCATCTTGGAAGAGCAGGCTCACTGAACAGCAGTGCTTGTTTCCTCCTCCTTCAGAGGGGTCACAGCTGGTGGCCAGGTAACTCGGAGAAGGGTTTTCCTGGGGTCATCATAACTTGTTCTCATTCACACACCTTTATCTGTATTCTTAGCTCATTTTGCCTATTTGAAAGACAAAAGCCTTTTAAGAAAGTTTTCTTAATTTAATTCACATTTCCCTTAATGATTCCACCAAGACCCAGGCAGATGTAAAAATCTCTTTGTGAGTATACTGTTTCCTGCCTTAGGAAAAAATGTTACTTCTGATACTTGAAAAATTTCACAATTTACCTGTTTTGTTCACTCGAGGCTGCCCTATCACAGAGTACTTCCACTTGTCAAGAACTTCTGTTCTGTTTCTACATGGTAATAAAATCTACTCTACATACAAATGTTTGCAAGAACTGAAAAACCTTTCTCAGGGCTGCAGAGCCAACTGGGGTAAACAAGCAGCAAGAATCTAATTTCTGAACTGAGACAATAAGCCATATATTCTGAATGGAAAATTCCAGATTGTAAAAAGGTAATAATGAACATGAATGTTGGCCTCAAAGAGATACTATGTTATTTACCCTAAGGAAAAACCGTTCTATTTTTCTTGTTAAAATATTATTATGTAACAAGAACTACAAGCACCTTCAAAGAAGAGTTGAACCTCACTTTGTAATCAAATAAATACAAGTTAAAATGGCTAGATAACCGTTTTTAATCTACCAAAATAGCAAAAGGTTTTTGCCCCCCATCATCAAAAATAGCACTTTTTTTTTTCTTTTTTTTTCTTGAGACAGAGTCTCACTTTGTCACCCAGGCTGGAATGCAGTGGTGCAATCTCGGCTCACTGCAATCTCTGCCTCCCAGTTTCAAGCAATTCTCCTGCCTCAGCCTCCCAGGTAGCTGGAATTACAGACGTGCACCACCACGCCCGGCTAGTTTTTGTATTTTTAGTACAGACGGGGTTTCATAATGTTGGCCAGGCTTGTCTCGAACTCCTGAACTCAGTTGATCTGCCCGCCTTGGCCTCCCAAAGTGCTGGGATTACAGGTGTGAGCCTGGCCAGAAATGGCAATTTCATAGAATGGTAGTGGAAACGTAAAATGCTAAAACCCGACTGAAAAGCAATTTTGCAGTAAGTACCAAGAGCTTTATAACGGTTCTTTCACTCAGTAATTCTATATCCACGGATTTAGCCTAAGGAAGAAAATAAGAAATACATAAAATGGTTAAAGAGTAAATGTGCATTGTTAGAAGGTTAAATAATTATGGGATATACAATTACAGGAGTCTTTTGCAAACTTTGAAATTATTTACCAAGAGATTTTAAAAACATGGGAAATTATTTCGTATTATGATTATGGCACTTATAAAGTCAACATGTAGTCCAATCGTATCTCTAGTGAAAAGGAATTCACCAAAAAATGATTTACTGTATTTTTTAAAACATGGGATTTAAGAGACTTCATATGAATATCTTGACTATGCATTGAAATTCTTATTTAGGGCCTAACACAGAGGAGGTGTTTGCTAAATGTTGATTTCTTGCTACCTGTTTTTTTCCTCCAAGATTGTTGCTGTATGTATCTAGGGTCCAGAGGAGTCCAGAATATTGTTTTGCGCATGTTGCTTATTGAATTAAAAAATTAACACATTCATGAAAAATAAAGAAATTCACCCAAATGTTACAAGTAGTTATTTGGCAGGCTGTAAATGTATACATGTCTTCATTCATCTAAATTTATTCATTCATCTCATAATTCCTTTTTTTTTTTTTTTTGAGACATCTTGCTCTGTTGCCCAGGCTGGAGTGCAGTACTGTGATTGTGGCTCACTGCAACCTCCACCTCCCGGGTTCAAGCAATTCTCCTGCCTCAGCCTCCCGAGTAGCTGGGATCACACGCATGCGCCACCACGCCCAGCTAATTTTTTGTTTTGTTTTGTTTTTTTGTATTTTTAGTAGAGATAGGGTTTCACCATGTTGGCCAGGCTGGTCTCGAACTCCTGACCTCAGGTGTTCAGCCTGCCTCAGCCTCCCAGAGTGCTGAGATTACAGGTGTGAGCCACCACGCCTAACCATCATCTCATAATTCAAAAGGAGTATTTATTCTGATTTATAGTGATCTCAATGATACATTCTAACATGTTAGACCATAAGGAAATGATTTCAAAGGCCAGGCACAGTGGCTCACACCTGTAATCCCAGTACTTTGGGAGGCTGAGGCGGGCACATCATGAGATCAGGAGATCGAGACCATCCTGGCTAACACAGTGAAACCCCGTCTCTACTAAAAATACAAAAAAATTAGCCGGGCGAGGGGTGGGCACCTGTAGTCCCAGTTACTCGGGAGGTTGAGGCAGGAGAATGGCATGAACACAGGAGGTGGAGCTTGCAGCAAGCCAAGATTGCACCCCTGCACTCCAGCCTGGGCAACAGAGCGAGACTCCGTCTCAAAAAAAAAAAAAAAAGAAATGATTTCAAGAACGTAATAATAGTGACCTAACCTCTATGCCTGTTCTCCCTCTGCCCTTCAAAAAAAATTGTATATTAAATTTGAGTATTTTGGTTTTCATCAGATACTCCAAATGCCAACAACAAAATAGGTGTCAGGCACTCCTACATTCCAAGTTGAGGGGCTGGGCCGGACACTTACAATCCGAGATTCCACTGGGATGCTGCAGAGGCCATTGGAAAGAGGTCCTAGTGAGCTGTGGCGTTTCCTACAAGTCAAGCCCAGACAATGGCTTCAACAGGACCATTTGTAGAGCTTGACATGAGTCCCCTGGAATTTGGGGAATGATTTAACATCTGATTCCAAAGAGTAAACACTGGTTTGGACTGCTTGCTGGGAGAGAAGGAAGCACCACCGCACTGTGAACTGCATGCACTTGCAGATTATCCCACTGGAGGGGTACTGAAGTTGTTTATACTGTGAGCCATACAGATCCTGGAGAAGGCACTGGACATGAGTAGGTTTAAAAGGGACCCTGTACCACAGGCCCACCTGAAGGATGGAAGTGATCTCAATAAAAGGGTAATTCTTCCCGGAACACAGACTCTGAGGGTGAAACTGCAAGTGGCACTCTGGAGGAGGTATCTGAACAACCATCAAGGAAACTGCAGAAGGGAGATCCCAGGTGATGAACAGTGTCTCAAAATCTACTACATTCCCTCTAAAGAGAAAGAGCCAATAGACTGGATACACAGTGTACACAGCACCCAGCTGCCTGATCACAAGGCAGCAACTGTTTATTGTTTTTTTAATTTTTTTTTTTTTGAGACGAGGTCTTGCTCTGTCACCCAGGCTGGAGTGCAGTTGGCTCACTGCAGCCTCTGCTTCCCGGGTTCAAGTGATTTTCACGCCTCAGCCTCCTAAGCAGCTGGGACTGCAGGCACGCACCACCATGCCTGGCTTTTTTTTAGTATTTTTTGTATTTTTAGTAGAGATGGGGTTTTGTCATGTTGGCCAGGATGGTCTCAAACTCCTGGCCTCAAATGATCTGCCCCCCTAGGCCTCCTAAAGTGCTGGGAATATAGGTGTGAGCCACTGTGCCCAGCCAGCAGCTGCTGTTTAAGGATGATCCTTGTTCTCCCTAACTATTCCCACCATCCCAAGGGACCACAAGCAGCGATTACTAGTGAATAGAGGAGAAGGTGAAGTCAACTGCATCCTTCTCCCCACTGCAGGCTCCTGAGCCTCTCCCAGCTGGAGGAGAACAGACATTCTGAATTAGAAGAAAGTTTATAGTTGTAACAAATAGAACGGGCTAGAATGGATAATATCAGATGGTGACTGGAAATCCTATGATCTGCTTGAAATTCCATCCAGAGATACGGTGGAAGGTGGGGAACAATCCACAAAGCAAATTTACTTGGAGAGGGGTGAGAAAGAAATAATAAAGTTACTTTCTGCTCCTCTTCATAGAAAGTCTAGCTTGTGGCCGGGCACAGTGGCTCATGCCTATAATCCCAGCACTTTGAGAGGCCGAGGCAGGCAGATCACCTGAGAGGTCAGAAGTTCGAGACTAGCATGGCCAACATGGTGAAACCTCGTCTCTACTAAAAATACAAAAATTAGCTGGGCGCAGTGGTAGGCTCCTGAAATCCCAGCTACTCGGGAGGCGGAGGAGGGAGAATTGCTTGAACCTGGGAGGCAGAGATTGCAGTGAGCCAAGATTGTGCCACTGCACTCCAGCCTGGGCGACAAAGCAAGATTCTGTCTCAAAAAAAAATAAACAAGAAAAGAGAGTAAGATAATTCTATTTAACATACTTAGCAGTCTCTGACATAGTGGTACACAATCAATATTGATTATTTTTATTATTGAAACATAGTAATAGAGTATCTTATTTTCCACTTTTAGAATAGAAAAATAATAGAGGTCATAGTATATCTTGACCAGAAATTAATTCAACTAATTAACTAATATCTTCATAAGAAATTAATTGGAAGGCAATTTGGCATTACTATAACCATGTTTTTCATTGTACCATACTTTCTGTATATGCTTATAGAAAATACAAACATAATTTTTTCTAGCGTTCTCACACAGTATTAACCTACACTAGCATCTGCTGAATGGGGTCTGATTTGGGGGCTTTTAACTGGCATTGCCTCCTAAAATTATCTGTGGAGCTTTTAAAAAGAACACATTCCCATCTCTGAGGCAAGACTTACCCAATCAGAATCTCTGGGTCTGGAAACCAGACATGTGTATTTTGAAAAAGCTCCTCAGGTGGTTCAACTGTAAAACGAGGATTGCGAGTCATCAGCCTAGGTCAGTCACTTAGCTCTTTTGAAAACTAGAAGCCAGGCTCCTAGTCTTTTGGTCTCTGAAAAAGAACCAGAGACACAGAATACCTATTAGGTCACTTAAAACCTGTTTTGTTGTTGTGGTGGTTGGTGGTAGTGGTGGTGGTTTTTTCGTTTGTTTGGGTTTGTTTTTTTTTTTTTTTGAGAAAGGCTGTGAAACAATACAAAAATAACTACAGACCAAAGAAACTCAGAACAGTCATTTGGGCCCCCATTCTTGACTTCTATTTTCTTTTTCCTTTTTTTTTTTTTTTTTTTCTTGAGACAGGGTCGCACTCCACTGCTGGGGCTGGAGTGCAGTGGTGTGATCATGACTCACTGCAGCCTCCACCATCTGGGCTCCATCCATCCTCCCACCTCAGCCTTCCAAGTAGTTGGGACCGCACGTGCATGCCACCATGCCCAGCCACTTTTTAAAATTGTATATAGCGATGGGGTCTCACTACGTTGCCCAGGATGGTCTCCAACTCCAGGGCTCAAGCAATTCTCCCACCTTAGCTTCCCAAAGTGCTGGGATTACAGCATGAGCCACTGCGCTGGGATGACTTCTATTTTCTAAAAGCAACTCTACTGGGAGATTTATGCTGAGGAAAGTATGTGGTTATCAGACTCAGTGCCCATGGTGGATGACTTCTTTTTTTTTTTTCTTTGTAGAGAAGGGATCTTGCTTTGTCACCCAGGCTCGAGTGCAGTGGCATGACCACGGCTCACTGTAGCCTCGACTTCCCGGGCTCAAGTGATCCCCCCAACTCAGCTCCCCCAAGTAGCTGAGAATACAGGCATGGGCTACCACAATTGTCTAATTTTTTTTTTTTTTTGAGACAGGGTTTTGCTCTGTCGCTCAGGCTGGAGTGCAGAGGCATGATCTTGGCTCACTGTAACTTCTGCCTCCCAGATTCAAGCATCTCTCGCCTCAGCCTTGGGAGTAGCTGGGGACTACAGGTGTGTGTGGGTGAGTCTGGGTGTGTGTGGGTGAGTGCAGGTGTATCTGGGTGTAGGTGGGTGAGTATGGGTGTGTGTCTGCGTGTAGGTGGGTGAGTATGGGTGTGCAGGTGCGTGTGAGTATGTGTTTACATTGTGGTATGTGTCTGTTGGGTGCCGCCATTAGGGATTTGGAAGAGTGAGGACCATAAACTTGTAAACATTTCTACATGCCTGGTCCATAAGAAGTGTACCAAGCATGATCAAAAGTAACTAAACCAAGTAAACAAATTAGACATTAATTAAACTTAATGCTGGGCAGGAAAGAAGTATTCAAGGCCAGGTAAAATGAAGAAATATAACCAAATAAATGAAATTTTAAAATTAGTAGAATGAGACAGAAATACTTTTTAAAGTTTTTAATTTCTGATGAATATCAGTATATAAAACTAACAATTATATGGCCGTTAATTGACTAAAAACAGTACTTTAGATTTCAGCTAGTGAAACAGCCATATATGATCTTCTAATTCCATTTTTATGTCTCAAGAATGACTTGTTTAAATAATTTTTTTTGAATTGTTACATTTTCATCTTGAAAGAGCTTCACAAAACTTACATGAGAATCTGGATTGTCATAAGAGGTCTGAGTTTTTAATGGTATGTTCGTATTTCTGTTATGTACATCGATGTCAAACATTCATTTCCTGAGCTGTTCTCCAGAACACAATTTGACTTGTAATGAACACTCAATAAATGGTTGCTTGGATAATCAAATCAACACCTTAGTTTCATCAATTTTCATTTCATATAAAAGTGACTGATCTTCCATACTCACCAATGAAACAGAGAGAGATGAGGGAGGGATAGCAGTGGAGACTAAGAGGATGACAAGCAGACCTCATTTTGCAGTGGATATCCTACACTCTCCACTTCTGAATGCTTGGAAACACTTGCCATACTCAAAAAACATTGCTATTTCCTAGGCAGAAAATGGGAGTTAAAGAAAATCCATATTTCTATATTACAATAACTTACACTATAATACATGGACGACATACATTTCTAAGCTCTTCAGTTCATAGAAAATGTAGATACATTTAGGTGAGCAAGATGCAGGAGAAGGGTTAATAATCAGGCTGAGTGTGATTGTGAGATTCAGTCTAATACAAGTCTTGGGTAATTGTATCAGTTGACATTTCTGTTCAAATGCAAGGTGGGAGAGTTTTGCAGGAGCTACTGAAACTTCCTGCCTGATGTTAGGAGAGATGTTGGTCCATGTGATTAGGCCAGATGTGTTTGCTTAATTGTGGCTTAGAAAAGTTAGGTTTCTGACCTCTCACAGAGACGGGGAGATAGGGACGTTAAATTTTATAACATTTCTATTTAATATATATTTAATAATACATAATAAAGTTTTTAAAATGTCAATTTTGTCCTTTTTCTAGTTTGCATTATTTTGTTTTCACCGCACCATTGTTTTTAGTACATATGTTTTGTGTATTTAAAAAACTGTGTTGAGGCGCCCTGGCTCGCCCTGCGCCAGAGGCTCGCGCACTCAGCAGGTTGGGCTGCGGCGGCGGCGGCTGGGGAAGCCGAAGCGCCGCGCGTGAGAGATCCCGGATACATCTGCGGTTTGGGCTCCGCCACCCTCCGTCTCTCTCCCGCAGGTCTCTGAGCCGGGTGCGGAAGGAGGGAACGGCCCTAGCCTTGGGAAGCCAAAGCACACCCCTGGCTCCTGCCGACACCGCCCTCCTTCCCTTCCCAGCCGCGGGCCTCGCTCCGTGCTCGGCTACTCTGCCGGGAGGCGGCGGCGGCTGCCAGTCTGTGGCGAGCCCTGCTGCCCTCCAGCCGGGCTCCTCCAGCCGGGCTCCTCCACCGGCCCTTGCAGGGGCGCAGAGAGCTCGGCGCCCGCCCTTCCGCTCGCCTTTTTCGTCAGCCGGCTGGAGGAGCATCGGTCCGGGAGGTCTCTGGGCTGAGGCGGCGACAGCTCCTCTAGTTCCACCATGTCCGCGGGCGGAGACTTCGGGAATCCGCTGAGGAAATTCAAGCTGGTGTTCCTGGGGGAGCAAAGCGTTGCAAAGACATCTTTGATCACCAGATTCAGGTATGACAGTTTTGACAACACCTATCAGGCAATAATTGGCATTGACTTTTTATCAAAAACTATGTACTTGGAGGATGGAACAATCGGGCTTCGGCTGTGGGATACGGCGGGTCAGGAACGTCTCCGTAGCCTCATTCCCAGGTACATCCGTGATTCTGCTGCAGCTGTAGTAGTTTACGATATCACAAATGTTAACTCATTCCAGCAAACTACAAAGTGGATTGATGATGTCAGAACAGAAAGAGGAAGTGATGTTATCATCACGCTAGTAGGAAATAGAACAGATCTTGCTGACAAGAGGCAAGTGTCAGTTGAGGAGGGAGAGAGGAAAGCCAAAGGGCTGAATGTTACGTTTATTGAAACTAGGGCAAAAGCTGGATACAATGTAAAGCAGCTCTTTCGACGTGTAGCAGCAGCTTTGCCGGGAATGGAAAGCACACAGGACGGAAGCAGAGAAGACATGAGTGACATAAAACTGGAAAAGCCTCAGGAGCAAACAGTCAGCGAAGGGGGTTGTTCCTGCTACTCTCCCATGTCATCTTCAACCCTTCCTCAGAAGCCCCCTTACTCTTTCATTGACTGCAGTGTGAATATTGGCTTGAACCTTTTCCCTTCATTAATAACGTTTTGCAATTCATCATTGCTGCCTGTCTCGTGGAGGTGATCTATTAGCTTCACAAGCACAAAAAAAGTCAGCGTCTTCATTATTTATATTTTACAAAAAGCCAAATTATTTCAGCATATTCCGGTGATAACTTTAAAAATTAGATACATTTTCTTAACATTTTTTTCTTTTTTAATGTTATGATAATGTACTTCAAAATGATGGAAATCTCAACAGTATGAGTATGGCTTGGTTAACGAGCAGTATGTTCACAGCCTGCTTTATCTCTCCTTGCTCTTCTCACCTCTCCCTTACCCCGTTCCCTATTTCCGTGTTCTTACCTAGCCTCCCCCCACTTCCTCAAAACAAACAAGAGATGGCAAAGCAGCAGTCCGACCAAGCCCACTGGAATTATCCTTTAATTTTACAGATACCACTTGCTGTAGGCTGTGGACCAAGATGTCCAGAATTATTCTTGAGCACTGATGTAAATTACTTAGATCTTCTTTGAGGTCAGAATTCAGCGATCACGGTAGGCAGTGCTTGAATGAGAAAAGCCTCCTGGTGCATCTTCAAAATGAGTCCTAAAGAACATACTGAGTACTTATAAGTAGCAGAACATAAAATGTATTTCTGACTAACACAAATGGTCCTTTCACATGTGCTTTATTAGACTCTGGGAGAGAAAAGTAACCAAGTGCTTCAGAACAGGTTTTTAGTATTTACTTCTTCATGGTAAGATAATGAAGTTCTAATGAACTATTTCTCCCAAGGTTTTAAAATTGTCAAGAGTTATTCTGTTTGTTTAAAAAGTAAGAAACCTCTGTAAGCAATAGATTTTGCTTGGGTTTTCTTTCTTAAAAAAATAATACTATGCAGGCAAGACACCATAAAAGTTTAATTCCTTACAGAAGAACCAGTGGAAGAATTTAAATTTGGCACTACGATCAAAACTACTGAATTAGCAGAAATAACGATATCTAAAGCTTACCAGCAAAAGAACCCTCAGCAGAATAGCAAAAACTTTGCTCAGGACATTTGAGGTCAAATTGAAGACGGAAGACGGAAGACGGAAACCGGAAACCGTTTTCTTGTAAGCCCCTAGAGGCAGATCAGGTAAAGCATACATAGTAGAGGGAAAGGAGAGAATGGAAATAAAACTGAATATTATGCAGATTTATGCCTTATTTTTTAGCATTTTTTAAGGTTGGGTCTTTCAGGCTGGTTTTGGTTTGTATTAGATCTGTATAGTTTAACTAGTGATTTAGTTTTATATTTAAGCTACGATTAATATTTTTTCTTTGGCGATATTTCTTTGCTTTTTTTTTTTTTAACAACTTTCCATTTTTAGATGTTTCGTTGAATCTATTTAGAGCTTCACCATGGCAATATGTATTTCCCTTAAAACACTGCAAACAAATATACTAGGAGTGTGCCCTTTTAATCTTTACTAGTTATTGTGAGATTGCTGTGTAAGCTAATAAACACATTTGTAAATACATTGTTTGCAGGAAGAAAACTTCGAGTTACAGGTCAGGAAAAGCCTGCTGAATTTATGTTGTAAACGTTACTTAACACAGTATAAAGATGAAAAGACAACAAAAGTATCTTCATACTTCCTCATCCCCTCATTGCAACAAAACCTTAAACTGGGAGAACCTTAGTCCCCTCTCTTTCCTCTTCCTCCTCCACTTCCCACTTATTGTCACTTTGTAATATTCAGAGAGCACTTGGATTATGGATCTGAATAGAGAAATGCTTACAGATAATCATTAGCCCACATACCAGTAACTTATACTTAAAGATGGGATGGAGTTATAAAGTGCTTTTATAATACAATATAATTGCTAAAGGCAAGGGTTGACTCTTTGTTTTATTTTGACATGGCATGTCCTGAAATAAATATTGATTCACTATGGCAGATGGGTCATATTCTTTATTTGGAAGAAGTCATGACTTCTGACATGGGGGTGATTTTCTCCCTACACTGTTGCATTTGATTCTTTTTATGTATTTTTAAGAAAGTAACCAGTTATACTGCTTTTAATATTGATTGGTCTTTTTATTTGGCTTGGAGTTCTTCAAAGCAGTGAAGTGTGTTCATAGTCCAGATTTTTTTTTAGTAAACACAATTTTGCTGCCAAAAATATATAAATAAAACACAAAAGGAAACAAAAATAAAAAGTTTTGAAAATGTTAGATCATCTCCCTTTTTACCGCCTTTCCCTTTTACCTTTTACTGCCATTTACATCCACACATCCACACACACAACGTGCACACACATACCGACTAAAATTAATTTAGATGCCAGTTCGAATTATATTTATTATCCTCCCACACACACACACACCTTTTTTTTTTATACGGAGCTTTGCTCTTGTTGCCCAGGCTGGAGTGCAGTGGCGCAATCTTGGCTCACCACAACCTCCGCCTCCCAGGTTCAAGCAAGTCTCCTGCCTCAGCCTCCCTAGTAGCTGGGATTACAGGCACCCACCACCAGGCTGGACTGATTTTTGTATTTTTAGTAGAGGCAGAGTTTAACCATATTGATCAGGCTGGTCTTGAACTCCTGACCTCAGGTGATCTGCCCACCTTGGCCTCGCAAAGTGCTGGGATTACAGTTGTGAGGCACCGCGTCTGGCCTTATAATCCTTTTAAGAAGAAAGAACATCCTTAATTTTTTGAAGAGACTATTCTGTGTCCGTTTTATAATTTTTTGGCCACCGAAAAAGATATGTCCAATCACAGACACAGTGAATATAACAGGTGGTAGTTTCAAGTGTTGACTTTTGGTCAGGTGTGGTGGCTCACACCTGTAATCCCAGCACTTTGGGAGGCTGAGGTGGGTGGATCACCTGAGGTAGGGAGTTCAAGACCAGCCTGGCCGACATGGTGAAACCTACAAAAATTAGCTGGGCGTGGTGGCGCGTTTCTGTATCCCAGCTACTCGGGAGGCTGAGGGAGAAGAATCGCTTGAACCCAGGAGGCCCAGGTTGCAGTGAGCCAAGATCACACCACTGCACTCCAGCCTGGGTGACAGAGTGAGACTCCCTCTCAAATAAATAAATAAATAAAATGTTGAATTTTTACAAGTCGTTGTTCCCATTCCAATTTTTGAATGCAACCGCAGCCTCTTACAAAACAGCCTTGTTAAACTAATTTGCTGATATTAAATTCTTAAGTAAAAGGGGAATTCCACAGGGATTTATATTGCTCTTTTATAAATCTCTTGAACCTAGGAGAAGGAGGTTGCAGTGAGCCAAGATCAGGCCATTGCACTCCAGCCTGGGTGACAGAGTGAGACTCTGTCTCAAACAAAAACAAAAATAAAAAAGAGGAAAAATCAGGCACAAGTATGCAGAGAAAGGTGAAGTGAGTAAAGGGTCTAACCCATAACTCTGAATTCCAAAGTTTGAGCTAATGCTCCAAAACACAGGAAATGGTATTTGCTTGTGAAATTGTGCATGTTTTTCATAAAAAGTAGAAAGTATTTGCACAGGTTTCTGCAGTCCTGAGGGGCAGAGATGAATCTGTCATTTGCAGATATGAAGACAGCTCAAGGTAGTGATCCTGGACATTCAGGAGGGGAATTAGACACGAGATCCGGGGCTGGATGCTCACTCAATTAGCCAGTCCCTGGGTCACTCAGGGGAAACCTATGCTGATTTCTGGAGCTCTTTCTTTGTATAGTTCGTTACTTTAAATTTGAGATGCTCACTTAGCCCTCCTAAAATAATATTTGTCTCTCTTCAATTCAGGGATTTCTCCAAGCTCTGTCTGGGTTCTGCTGCCAATGGTGTTGTCCAGTAAGTATCCCCAGGCAGAAATAAGGGGCTATTGTAGGGCTTACATTGCTTGTTTCTCTTCTCAACTGGAGAAAAACAGTCCTTAGTTGCTGATTGTCTAATGTTTGAAAATGATGGTTTTCTATAGTTTGTCTAGTTTTCTAGTTGTTTATAGTGGAATCAGTCATTAGCCCCTGATTAGAGACAGAATCTCTCATCTACTCAACTTTTTACTTTAATTTAAAACTTTTTAAAATGTTATATTTTAATTTTGTTACAGAATATAGTAATACATTATCCTAGTGTAAAATTTAAAAAGTAAGTAATATTTAGTAAAAAAAAATACTCCTCCCACTTTCACTCCCAGAAGTAACTGATGTTACAAAATCTTTCTGTCTTTTAGAGTTATTATATGTATCTACAAAATAAAACACAGGAAACTAGCCATAATAAAATAATGGGGTCTAAAGGAATTCAATCACATAAAATGTTAGGTCAAATTTATTGTGAGATTAATAAAAATTATACTTTTGTTAAACTATTACTCTCACAAAAAGCATAAAATGATTGTGAAACTTACAGCACACATTACTGACTAGTGAATTGAGTAACCGCCATTGATTGTGAGGCAGTGACTTCTATGTCCCCTTCCCCATCTCATTACTTACAAGTCATGTATAAGAGTTTCCTTTGTTCTGTAACTTCTCTGACAGTTGTGATTGAAATTTTAAATTTTTGTCAAGCTGGCTAATGTAAAACATCATCCTGTTCTATGTTTAATAGCATTTCCCTGATTACCAATATGAAGCATTATATATTGTCTGTTCATGTTTCATATTTTGTATAATGTCTATATCCTTTGTTCATTATTTGTTATTTGTATTATTCTTTATATATTATTCTTTAACACATTGCTGTTTATATGTTGGTTATATTTTACATTTTCTTCTAGTTTATGGGAAGTCTTTTTCTTTTCCTAAGACAATCTATTGATAAATATAAGCTGTGAATATTAAAGTTATAATTAAAGTTATCAAATGTTTGAGATAACTTTATTCATTAGCTCTTTATGAGTTTTTGGTTTTTTTTCAGTTAAATGAAATAACTTCTTTTTTTGTTTTTTGATGTGAAGAACTTGGTGGAGAAATTAAAATTTCAGATGCAGAAAAAGAAGCAAGAAAATTGCTGGAATGACAGGCATGGGTAGATAACAGGTGTGATGGTTAATACTGAGTGTCACCTTGATTGGATTGAAGGATGCAAAGTATTGTTCCTGGGTGTGTCTGTAAGGATGTCACCAAAGGAGATTAACAGTTGAGTCAGTGAACTGGGAGATGCAGACCCACCCTCAGTCTGGGTGGTCACCCTCTAATCAGCTGCCAGTGCATCTAGGATAAAAGCAGGCAGAGAAATATGGAAGGGCTCGACTGGCTCCACCTTTCTCCCGTGCTGGTTGCTTCCTGCCCTCAAACATCAAACTCCAGGTTCTTTCAGCTTTTGGACTCTTGGACCTACACCAGGGGTTTGCCAGGGGCTCTCAGGCCTTCAGCCACAGACTGAAGGCTGCACGGTTGGCTTCCCTACTTTTGGGATTTGGGGACTCAGACTGGCTTTCTTCCTCCTCAGCTTGCAGACAGCCTATCGTGCAACTTCACCTTGTGATTGTGCGAGTCAACACTCTTTAATAACCCATTTTATATATACATTTATCCTATTAGTCCTGTCCCTCTAGAGAATCCTAATACAACAAGACACAGCACCCAGTCACAGTAAGAGGGGTGGACATTATTTAGAAGCAAAGACAGTTCACCCATATGAAAAGGAGAGATAACAGAATGTAGGTATAGATATATGAAGATGAGCAGATGTAGAGACTGGAGATTTTGAAATTCTTGTCAAATGACCACTTTTTTTTACAAGTGAAATAGAAAATAAAGTCATCAGCAAAGAGCAAAGATGGGAAGGAGAGAAAATAAATATGAACTGTTACTCTGGGAAAGGATGAGAATGAATGGAGCAGGGAATATTTTTTTCTGGGAAGCATAAAGACATGAGCTTTGTGATCATGAATTTCAGTTGAAACAAATCAACCTGATTCCCTCTTACTCTATTTTAAATTTCAGTTTTATTTAAAAATCTGAACATAATATCCATAATTATAGTATTATACAGAAGAGTTTCACTGCCCTAAAATTCCTCTGTACTCCATCTGCTCATCCCTCTGTCCCCCATAACTCCTGGCAACCACTGATTTTTTTTAACTGTCTCCATAGTTTTGCCTTTCCCAGAATGTCATGTAGCTGGAGTCATACAGTATGTAGCATTTCCTGATTGGCTTCACTCAGAAACATGTATTTGAGATTCCTTTATGTCTTTTTATGGCTTGATAGGTCATTTCTTTTTAATGCTGAATAATATTTCATGTATACAATACATGTATTACAGTTTATCCATTTACCTAATGAAGGACATCTTGGTTGCTTCCAAGTTTGGCAATTATGAATTAAGCTGCTGTAAACATTATTGTGCAGGTTTTTGTGTGGACAAGTTTTCAGTTTCTTTAGGTAAATACTAAGGAGCATTAATGCTAGATTATATGATAAGAGTTTGCTTAGTTTTGTAAAAAGCTGACCAACTGTCTTCGTAAGTGGTGTAACATTTGCATTCCTACCAGCATCACCAGCATTTGATGCTGTCTGCCTTTCACATTCATCAGGCTTAACCTTCATAATTTTGCTGCACTTACTTTTAAAATGAAAGTCTTCAATTCATCCCGTGCTTTGTTTCTTAAACAATCTTGAATGAGTTCTTTAAAGTCTAAAAATCTCCAGAAAATAAAAGTGTTAACTATATATTGAGAGCTGAAGTTTGCAGAGCAAAGGAGTGACACTACATTGGTGATGATGTAAAACCTCAGCTGAAAATTCTAATAGCTACAGAAGAGGTATGATATTTTCATATATAGTTCCTTCTCATTTACATGTGTAAACTTAAGAGAGTCAGGAGTATTGTATTGTTAGGAAAATCAGAGCACTTCAAAAAATTGCTGTTTATAATGTTTAGAAATTTAGACCTAACACTTTCATGATATAGACTAGAGTAGACTTAGCTAAACAGAACCATTTATTAGTCTGTTGTACATATTGTTTTTGACATATTTATTATATTATAAACTACAAAAGGAGAATAAAATAGTGTAAAACTATTTTGAGAAGGGATCTAATAAAAATAACATAATTATGGGATTTCTATTATCCACACTCAATTAAGACTAATATTTTTAATTTAAAAAAAGTTTTTTAAAGAAGAATTCCTGAATGGTAATTGATAGTACATTAATTTGTTTTTTTGATAAAAATCCTCAAAGAATAAAAATAATTTCTTCCTACCTCTATATTACAATCAGCATAATTGAAATAATATGCTTCAATTGTTAGTAAAGTAACATTTATGTTTTGGAATCAATGAAGCTAAGCCAGCACTAAGAATTTTATTACTATTCCTCCACTACATTTCAGAGGGTTATTTCTTTATCCTTAAACATACCACAATAACGAGTCTGCTAGGTCCATTTAGATTATCAACCCAACCCTAAAAGAAAGAAGATTTCTATTGGTTACACATTTCAGAAGATTGTTGTATCTTTGGAACATCTGCAGTCTCATCTTAATAAATTTCAAACAAGAGCACTGAAACTCCAGCCAATAGAACTATCTAATTCAGTCTTATTAAGATCCCAAAGATCAATGGCAAAGCATTGGCTATTTTCTGCACTTTGCGCAAGAATTAAAATTTGGCCAGGATTGTTGTTCATAGCAGGAGTCAGGAATGGTTTTGTGGTGTTTTATGACATCTTAAGGGCTACATTGAACCTTGTCCTTATATCATGATCTGCTAAGCAATTCACCAACCATACTTCTCCACCTCAGTCCTGACTTTAGCCTCCTTAGGAGAATATTGGAGACATGATTGGTAGTAATGGCCCATTTCTTGACATTTTTGACCAGCTACAGATACACATTTTGACCATGCCAGATACACACATATATATGTGTGTGTGTGTGTATATGTAGTGTGTGTGTGTGTGTGTATTGTGTGTTGACTTGCTTAAAGACATTACAGGGAAGATTATATTTAAGACCAGTTAGAGGGAAATGTCTTTTTGAGTTTGTTCCCTAAACTCTAAGCCATTCAGCTGACCTTATTATGTCTGTTTACCTCATAGTGTAGAAGTCAAAATGTGTGTGTATAATGGGAAAGGAGAGAGGCAGGAGGAGAAGATGAAGGGATTAATATCCATGAACCTTGTAGTAAGGACCTGCCTTTTACTAGAGACTGAGCACTCCTCATACATTGTCTCATTAAACCACCTCTCCAAAATAGTATCCCTCTTGTTTTATGGAAGGGACAACTCAAAAATTTTGCATTGCCAGTAAGTGATGGAGCTGGAATTTATCTGCCCCAAAGCTTCACAGACTTGCTTTAAAGAAGATGGTATAATTCTATCTCACACCAGTTAGAATGGCGATCATTAAAAAGTTAGGAAACAACAGGTGCTGGAGAGGATGTGGAGAAATAGGAACGCTTTTACACTGTTGGTAGGAGTGTAAACTAGTTCAATCACTGTAGAAGACAGTGTGGCGATTCCTCAAGGAACTAGAACTAGAAATACCATTTGATCCAGCGATCCCATTAGTGGGTATATACCCAAAGGATTATAAATCGTGCTACTATAAAGACACATGCACACGTATGTTTATTGCGGCACTATTCACAATAGCAACGACCTGGAACCAACTCAAATCTCTATCGATGATAGACTGGATTAAGAAAATGTGGCACATATACACCATGGAGAACTATGCAGCCATAAAAAAGGATGAATTCATATCCTTTGTAGTGACATGGATGAAACTGGAAACCATCATTCTGAGCAAACTACCACAAGGACAGAAAACCAAATACCGCATGTTCTCACTTATAGGTGGGAATTGAACAATGAGAACACTTGGACACAAGGCGGGGAACATCACACACCAGGGCCTGTCATGGGGTGGGGGGATGGGGGAGGGATAGCATTACGAGAAATACCTAATGTAAATGACGAGTTAATGGGTGCAGCAAACCAACACAGCACATGTATACATATGTAACAAACCTGCGCGTTGTGCACATGTACCCTAGAACTTAAAGTATAATAAAAAAAAGAAGATAGTATAATTCAAAGTACTTTCAAAAGGACATAGCGCTATACTGAGGTTAGAAAAAACAGTGTTCCCAAGCTGAGATCCTTCTGTGCACTTTGTAACCCTTGTTTACCCTGGCAGTTGCAATACTACCAATTTACCATTAAGAACATTCGGTATGTTTAAACTACAGTGGGAAAGCCAAGATATGAAACCATCACCCATGGGAATTTTGAGGCTAGAGTAATTAGAAGCTAATTTAAGATCTCCATTCAACTCTAGGACAGTCAGGGTAACTGCCAGAGAAGCTGCATGCTGGGTAAATCCTGATCCCAAAGTGGAATTTTGCCCTAGTACAATGGGTTGATATATGATTGGCTGCACTTAGCTATACATCCTGAGGAGGAAGAAGAGGAGGAGAAGGGGAAGGGGAAGAGGAAGAAGAAGAGGAAGAAAGAAGAAGAAGGAAGAGAAGGAGGAGGAGGGGGAGAAATGACATCAGAAAGTAATTGGGCTAGAAGAACTTTAATTTGGAAGCAAAATACAGAATTCAGGTGAGTGGGCTTACTGGGAAAGGGTCGTGCCACGTCGCTCCCACAGTGGAGGGCCTTATGATGGCGATGGTTACATTTCTGCTCTCCTGCTGCACCACCATTTCTCCCAAGGCCTTGCGGTAGGTGCAAGAATTGGGCAGATCTCTGATCAGCTTGGGTGTGATCTCGTCAATAACAGCGTTATCTAACCACCTAAAAAGTAGTCAGAGTAAAAAGAATTCTAGCAGCATATGTTAGACAATAGACCAAAAGGAAAATGTGACACACAAATAGTCAAAACAAAACTTCCACCTTTTAGCCTTGGTTCTGGAATTCAGAAGAGTCACACGATACCAAGTTTGTGTGCGTACCTGTTCAAAGCATGCATGAGCTCTTTGCTCTCCACTGCTAAGCCCAATCTCATCAGCCAAATCCTACGCCCTCCCATCTAGAGAGATAGGTAGGTAGACAGACCAATAGAATCAATAGCAATACCACTTTATTGTTACTACTAGTATAGGGCTATTAGTACTACTTGATTAGTATGACTTTAGCACTACTATTACTTTATCAATTACTTTATCAATATTGTTACTTTATCTGTAGTAGTGCTAATTTGAGGTAATTACATACAACCTCTTTACTTCCTCTCCAAGAAGCTCATAAATAAATTCATTGCATGCATTTTTGAGTCCCAGTCATTCTCTCAGTAGTGTGCTAGATGCTATATGTTCAGGGAGTTTGAGGCTCTCATCCAAGGTGTTTCAGTGGCAGCCCTGTTCAGTGTTGTCCCATAGAAACCAGTGCAGTGATCCTGAAGAGTTTAGCTTTACATTTTAAAAATTTCATTCAATGCAAATCAAACCAAAGTGACTATGGCAGACTGACAATCTCTTTTAGCAAATCTATGTAATGCATTTTGAAGGTCTGTTTAGAGTCTGGGCTAATAACTTGCTAATTATTTCCAGAGATTTCCAATGAATTCTGAAGTCTGTGAAGTGGGGTGATTATAGTACTCTGAAATTGCTTCAAAATCATGAATATTGAATTCTCCTACTTATAATATGACATGTATCATGAATAACTGAGTTACCATAGCATTTGCCTAATCTTTCTAAAAATATGTCAGAACTGGCCTGGCGGAGTGGCTCACACCTGTAATCCCAGCACTTTGGGAGGCCGAGGCGGGTGGATCTTGAGGTCAGGAAATTGAGACCATCCTGGCCAACATGGTGAAACCCCGTCTCTACTAAAAGTATAAAAATTAGCTGGGCGTGGTGGCACATGCCTGTAATCCCAGCTACTTGAGAGGCTGAAGCAGGAGAATCGCTTGAACCCAGGAGTCAGAGGTTGTAATCAGCCAAGATCGCACCACTGCTCACCAGCCTGGTGACACAGAGAGACTCCATCTCAAAGAAAAAAAAAAGAACCATTTGATAAACCCAAAGTGTATCTACACGTCTCTAAGAGAGCAAAAAATTATTGTCAATTAAATATGTAACATTTATTCTAACTGACAGATCTATGTGGTTAAATTATTGATATAGCATTTTAAAAATTAAGCTGCCATTCTAGCTGCTGTGTGATGGTATCTCACTGTGGTTTTGATTTGCATTTCTCTGATGGCCAGTGATGGTGAGCATTTTTTCGTGTGTCTGTTGGCTGCATAAATGTCTTCTTTTGAGAAGTGTCTGTTCATATCCTTTGCCCACTTTTTGTTGGGGTTGTTTGTTTTTTTCTTGTAAATTTGTTTAAGTTATTTGTAGATTCTGGATATTAGCCTTTTGTCAGATGGGTAGATTGCAAAAATGTTCTCCCATTCTGTAGGTTGCCTGTTCACTCTGACGGTAGTTTCTTTTGCTGTGCAGAAGCTCTTTAGTTTAATTAGATCCCATTTGTCTATTTTGGCTTTTGTTGCCATTGCTTGACATAGGAACGCTTTTACACTGTTGGTGGGAGTGTAAACTAGTTCAACCATTGTGGAAGACAGTGTGGCGATTCCTCAAGGATCTAGAACTAGAAATACCATTTGACCCAGCGATTCCATTACTGGGTATATACCCAAAGGATTATAAATCATGCTACTATAAAGACACATGCACAGGTATGTTTATTGCGGCACTATTCACAATAGCAAAAAGTTGGAACCAACGCAAATATCCATCAGCCATAGACTGGATTAAGAAAATGTGACACATGAGGCCAGCGCCGGCGGCGGCGGCAGCGGTGCTGGGGGCGCAGAGGGCCGCGCAAGCGGAACCGGGCGAGCACGCGAGCTACCGGAGAGCGGGCGGCCTTGCGGGAGGCGGCGGCGGCACCCCAGGCCAAGCCGGCGCGGGAGGAGTTCCAGGGCGATGGGGCCGCGGCCGGGCCTGATGCTTTGACAGCTGGAAAGAGCGCGGAGCCAGCGCCTGCTCGGGAGGGAGGGGAGCGCTGCTAGGAGAGCGCCAGCCAGCGAGAGAGGGAGGGAGCGCCTGGGAGGGGGCCGGGGGCGAGGGGCAGCTCGGGAGAGCGGGAGCGGTGGCGGCTGTGGGGAGGCTGGGCGCCCTCTTCCCTGCAAACCATGTTTGCCAAAGGCAAAGGCTCCTTGGTGCCCTCGGACGGGCAGGCTGGGGAAAAGTTAGCTTTATACGTCTACGAATATTTACTGCAGGTAGGAGCACAGAAATCTGCACAGACCTTCTTATCGGAGATTCGCTGGGAAAAAAACATCGCGTTGGGAGAACCGCCTGGGTTTTTGCACTCGTGGTGGTGTGTATTTTGGGACCTTTACTGTGCAGCTACTAAAAGGAGAGACACTTGTGAACATTCAAGTGAAGCAAAAGCCTTTCCTGATTCTAGTGCAGCAGCTGCCCTGAGCCCCGTGCTTGGCAACATTCCCCCCAACAATAGGATGCGGGGAGGCCGAGTCCCGCCAGGGTCCTCCGGGGTCACAGCCCTCGCCGCACGCACAGCCTCCACCTCACAATCCTAGCAGCATGATGGGACCCCACAGTCAGCCTTTCATGTCACCGCGATACGCAGGCGGCCCCAGGCCCCCCGATCAGAATGGGAAACCAGCCTCCGGGAGGAGTTCCTGGGACACAGCCATTGCTGCCCAATTCCATGGATCCCGCACGACAACAAGGCCATCCCCACATGGGAGGATCAATGCAGAGAATGAACCCTCCCCGAGGCATGGGGCCCACGGGTCCCAGCCCACAGAATTACGGCAGCGGCATGAGACCACCACGCAATTCCCTCGGCCCCCCATGCCCGGGATTAACATGGGCCCGGGAGCCGGCAGACCCTGGCCCAATCCTAACAGTGCTAACTCAATTCCATACTCCTCCTCATCACCTGGTACCTATGTGGGACCCCCTGGTGGTGGCGGCCCTCCAGGAACACCCACTATGCCCAGTCCCTCAGATTCAACAAATTCCAGCGACATCTACACAATGATTAATCCGGTGCCGCCTGGAGGCAGCCGGTCCAACTTCCCGATGGGTCCCGGCTCGGACGGTCGGATGGGCAGCATGGGCGGCATGGAGCCACACCACATGAACGGATTGTTAGGGTCAGGCGACATAGATGGCTTCCAAAAAATTCTCCTAACAACGTAAATAGTATTAGCAATCCTCCAGGCACCCCTCGAGATGACGGAGAGTTAGGAGGGAACTTCCTCCACTCCTTTCAGAATGACAATTATTCTCCAAGCATGACGATGAGTGTGTGATCCCCCCTTCTCCAAGACGCTGAGAGAGCCTGCATTGCAGGCGGGAAGATGCCAGAAATTATGCAAGAAGTGAGGTGTCATTATCCAGGAGCTGGTAGGGAGGGCATCTCCTGCTCCCCTCAAACCCTCCCACCCCATTCACTCCCACCTTTCCCAATTTTAGTTTCATGCAATAAAAAGGCTGAACTTTTTATTCCATAAAATAAAACAAAAAGAAAGAAAGAAAGAAAATGTGGCACATATACACCATGGAATACTATGCAGCCATAAAAAAGGATGAGTTTGTGTCCTTTGCAGGGACATGGATGAAGCTGGAAACCATCATTCTGAGCAAACTATCATAAGGACAGAAAACCAAACACCACATGTTCTCACTCATAGGTGGGAATTGAACAATGAGAACACTTGGACACAGGGCGGGGAACATCACACACAGGGGCCTGTCCTAGCGTGGAGGCTAGGGGAGGGATAGCATTAGGAGAAATACCTAATGTAAATGACGAGTAAATGGGTGCAGCAAACCAACATGGCACATATATACCTACGTAACAAACCTGCACGTTGTGCACATGTGCCCT